>NC_000015.10:84320066-84471581 GCF_000001405.40 Homo sapiens
GAATTCTGACCTGCTCCCCTTCTGACCTGAGCCAGTTCTCCCATCCTTAGGCAACCCGATGGCCCCCTGTTCCCAGGAGGTCACCATACTGATACTGAACTTAGTGCGGACACCTTGTCGGCATAATGACCGACACAAAATGCTTAAAAGGTAACCTGACTCTTTGTTCAGGGCTCAGTCCTTTAGATGTTAATCTGACTGGGCCAGTGCACCTAATAATATATATCCTCCTCAGTCTCTCTGATTCCTAAATTATGCTGCTGTACGGGGAGAGAGGCAGCAGGGTAGTGGAGTCATACCAAGCAACAAGACAGGGTAGTGGCCAGGCATGGTGGCTCACACCTGTAATCCCAGCAATTTGGGAGGCCAAGGCGGGTGGATCACCTGAGGTCAGGAGTTCGAGACCAGCCTGGCCAACATGATGAAACCCCATCTCTACTAAAAACACAAAAATTAGCTGGGCATGGTGGCAGGTGCCTGTAATCCCAGCTACTCAGGAGGCTGAGGCAGGAGAATTGCTTGAACCCAGGAGATGGAGGTTGCAGTAAGCCAAGATTGTGCCATTGCACTCCAGCCAGGGGGACAAGAGGGAGACTTCACCTCGAAAGACAGACAGACAGGCTAGTACGTTTTCCACAAATTTCAATTTTACTCTCTTCCCCCACCACACACACACACAAAGCATTTGAGGGATGGGAGGAAGAAACTGAGATCACAGGAAAAATTGTAAGAGACATTCAGAAGGACAGGTCTTAGAAATTTACTAGTTTTGGGGGGAGGTCAGAACAGGTGTATATAAAAGAATATTAAGACAGTTCCCAGGTTTAGGCATATGTGACTAGATAGAGTGCTAGGAGATGGATACGTGAAAATTTAAATATCATCATTTTGAACACCCATGTCACTCCAAGTGAGATTCCCTAAATATATGATATACAGACAGATATATGGGTTTGAAACTCTGGAGATGAATACAAATTTAGGAGTCCCTGGAACACAGGTCATGACTTAAGTAATGGGAGTCAAAGATTACTCAGAGAAAGCACAGAATGAGAAGAGAAGAAGTAGGACAAGGAAGAAGAGATCGGAGGAGACCAAGAAAGGGTGATAAGATCAAAACAGGAGAAAAGAATCCGACAGAAGTCTCATTTGATTATCATGTCCCTTCCCAGAGGACAGGGACATGTCTTTTTTGTCTTTTATACCCAATTATCACAGGTCCTGGTGCAGCAGACACACAGTTTTTTTTTTTTTAATTGTGTTGTACTATTCACAGTTTCCTGTATTCACCAGGGGAGAAAAAAGTAAGTATAAAGAAGCACAGACACAGATGTTTTTACACTGTGTACTAAAGGGGTCAGATTATACACAATATTTTATGCCTTACTTTTTTACTTAATATATCTTAGAAGTTTGCACGTGCTCTTATGGAAAGACTGGCTGCATTTTTTGGTCCACAACAGAACAACAGAATATTCTATTATAAAACGGTACACTATAATTTTTATTTAACCAACTCTTTATTGGTGGACATTAAGAATGGAGGAATGTTTCAACAAAGGAACAATCAACAGTATCAAAATACTGCAGAGGGGTCAATTTGGGGACTAAGAGGGGAGCCACTGGATTTGACAACTAGGAGATAAATTTTAGTGCAACGATGAAGGCAGAATCCAGAGTATAATGAGCTCAGTGAAAAAAGGTGAAGACATGTAGCTTATTCTCTCAAGAAACTAGGCTATGATAAACTGGCAGAGGCTCTAAGAGTGGGAGGTGAGTTGTTTTCTCCTTCATGTAAATATATTTACCTTTTAAACACTAGGCCCAATTTTATATCCTATTTCATTTAACTTTATGAACATATTTATGTATGTATGCATGTATGTATGTATCTCATGTGATGTTTTAGACACTGAAAAATAACTCATTTCTATTATAAAACTGATATCTTTAGATGTTCAGAAGCAACTTCCTAAAAGGAGGTAGCAGTAATGGAGCTATGTCTATCATTCTTTCCCATCAACCCCCTTGATGGAGATGTAAACATGTGTCCATCAAGCCTTTAATTTTTACCTCTTATCTTCATGGCTCTCCATACAAAACTTAACTCTTTTTTTTTTCTATTTGTATACGTATATTTATATGTATATCTATATCGAGAGAGAGAGAGAGAGAAAGAGTCTTGCTGTGTTGCCCAGGCTGATCTCAAACTCCTGGGCTCAAGCAATCCTCCCACCTTGGCCTCGCAAAGTGCTGGGATTACAGGCGTGAACCACTGTGCCCAGCCTCAGCCTTAACTCTTAAAATATCTTCAAACCAATATTCTTCTGTTCTAATTTTTAAGAATAGATGTGTTTAAACCAACTAACTTATTTTGACAAAAATTGGAGTTAAGACTCAGACTTCCTCAAATAGTTCTCCTAAAACCATTTACAGAATAATCTATCTTTTCAGTATTAAGTTAAAATACCACCTTTTCCTTATACTAAATTCTCGTTTGCATGACTCTGGTTCTAAACTTCCATTGCCTTTATCTGTCTGGCCCAGGGATAGTCCACAATATTTTATTTACTATCTGGTTGAAAGAGTCTATACTTTATTACTTTTTATTACTTATTCTTCTAAACAAATTTTAGAGTCGTTTTGTCAAGTGTCAAAAATAAATCTGCCAGAATTTGTACTGAAATTTGTGTGTGTGTATATATATAATACACACACACTATATATAAAATATAAAATGTATATATACAATTTATATATATAAATATTTATAAAATATGAAATATATATATATATACACACACACTTTTCTAGTTCTTTTTTTTTTTTTTTTTGAGACAGGGTCTCACTCTGTCACCTAGGCTGGAGTTCAGAGGCATGATCTCGGCTCACTGCAACCTCTGCCTCCCAGGCTCAAGTGCTCCTCCCACCTCAGCCTCAGAAGTAGTTGGAAATACAAGTGTGTGCCACAGACACCCAGCTAATTGTCATCTACCCGCCTCAGCTTCCCAAACTGTTTGGATTACAGGTATGAGCCACTGTGCCCAGCAGAAATTACATTTACAAATTAATATGAAGACATGGTGATAACTAACATATTTATAACATGAAATCTGCTCATCCAGGAACATAGAATGCAAATCTTTCATTCCACTCAGCAAAATTTTGTCCTGTCCTTGATAAAAGTCCTGCACATCTAAGTTTATTCCTAGGTATTTAATTTTTGCTGAAATACCTGAAAAAATACTTCATCACTATATCTTCTACGTGATTATAGCTAACACTGGGGAAGGCTATTGATTTTTATATAAAAGAACTTTTAACCACTAATCTTAAAAATTGTTTTTCTCAGTTGGTTCCTTTGGATATTTTTAGGTAAACAATCATGTCAACTGAAAATAATGATAAATTTTCTATAAAGACTATGACATCACAGGAAAATACAGTAAATACTTTTTAAAAGAATATAAAAGGGCCAGGCACAGTGGCTCACGCCTGTAATCCCAGCACTTTGGGAGGCCAAGGTGGGCAGACCATGAGGTCAGGAGATCGAGACCATCCTGGCTAACACGGTGAAACCCCATCTCTACTAAAAAATACAAAAAATTAGCCGGGAATGGTGGCGGGCGCCTGTAGTCCCAGCTACTGGGGAGGCTGAGGCAGGAGAATGGTGGGAACCCAGGAGGTGGAGCTTGCAGTGAGCCGAGATCACGGCACTGCACTCCAGCCTGGGTGACAGAGCAAGACTCTGTCTCAAAAAAAAAAAAAAAAAAAAAAAAAAAAAGAATATAAAACTATAGAGAATATGACCTCAACTATTAAGCATATGTGTAAGGGTTATGTATTTTAATAGCAAAGAAAAACTATATACTGGTAGAAAATGACCATCATGTCAACAGTCAATAGTGGTTATATTAGATAGAGAAATTATGGGAGACTTTAATTTTTTTCTTTTATCTTTTCTGTACTTTACCAATTTTCTCAACAATGGTTGCTTATGAGTTTTAAAATTAAAAAAAGGTTTTAAAAATTTTTCCAACATGGAAAGTTATATTTCTTTATATACTAAAACAAAAACAAAACTTTCTATTTGAATACCTATGGCAAAACCCTATCTCTACAAAAAATACAAAAAATTAGCAAGGTGGGGTAGTACACACCTGTAGTCCCAGCTACTCTGGAGGCTGAGGTGGGAGGATCACCTGAGTCCCCAGAGAATGAGGCTCCAGTGAGCCGTGATCATAGCACTGCATTCCAGCCTGGGAGACAGAGAAAGACCCCATCTCAAAAAAAAAAAAAAGAAAGAAAGCAAAAAGAAATATCCATAATGATCTGAAATGCCTATCTGTATGAGACTGTCCTTTGTTCACATTTTTTCAAGCAAATATCACACAATAAATTGAATGCAGGTACAAATGACATATCAAACATCAAAGAAATTTGCAAAGGACGTAAGACTGTACTACCTTGGGTTTAGAAATTTTCTTATCATAAAAGCATTTATAACAATATTTTGTGAGCTTTTAAGGAATATTTTAAGTATTTCTGATTTAATTTCTAGTGATAAATACCAATAGATATAACCTACATACACAAAAGCTCCTTGGGCCCTCAATATACTTTTAAGAGTGTAAAGGAATCCTGACCCCAAAACTTTGAGAACTGCTGCCTTCCCCTCCACTTTATTCCTTCCCTAGAATTTCTTCCTTGGAAGAAACATTCCTTTGCCATTCTATGTTAACTTACATAGTTCCATTGAGGCCAGTTTTGCTACCTCTCTCCCATCTTTCCACATCCCTCTCTTGACACAAAACCTGACCAAAGGACTCTACCGGCCCACCCCATTTCCAGTGATTAGCTGTCAGGTGGGCTAAGCCAAGAAAATCTGGGTTTTCCCTGACACTAGACCTCTCTTTCTGGGAGATACGGAATCACAGGGACAAGGCTGGCCCTGTCAGAACTCATCTTGTCTAAATGGGAAGAGGTTAGGCAAGTTTCTAGAATGCCAGACTGCTTTCTAGAAAGTCAAAGATAATTATACTTTCTGCCACGACTGTGAAAATGCCCATTTCATTGCACGCTTTCTAACATTTATACCAATCTGATAAATAAAAGCTGGTACCTAGAAGAAAAAAAGGCTGGGTATGGTGGCTCATGCCTGTAATCCCAGTACTTTGGGAGACCAAGGTGAGTGGATCACCTGAGGTCAGGAGTTCGAGACAAGCCTGGCCAACATGATGAAACCCCATCTCTAGTAAAAACACAAACATTAGCCGGGCATGGTGGCAGGCCCCTGTAATCCCAACTACTCGGGAGGCTGAGGCAAGAGAATCACTTGAACCTGGGAGGTGGAGGTTTTAGTGAGCCAAGATCATGCCATTGCCCTCCAGCCTGGGTGACAAGGTGAGACTTTGTCTCAAAAAAAAAAAAAAAGTTTCCATACAATATAATTTGTTCCATCTCTAAAAACCAATTCAGCAATAACTGAAAGCCACCACTTGGAAGGTTTCAAGGATTTAGCTCTACCTGTTGATGATGTCCAAAGCATTAGTTAAGGTAGAAAAAAAATATACACACACACACACACACACACACACACTCACCCCTATGTAGTCAGTACCAGGAAACACGAAAGACTAGATGGTACAGTCATCCAACACAAAGCACACAATAACTGAAGGCACTGTAGAGGAGTAACTTATGACACAGATCTACAATATTGAGTGAAAATGCAGATTACAAAAAAAAATCTGATTTTTTAAGGGAGAGGGAACACATACAAGCAAAGGAGAAAAGAGATGAGCAGATGACTGAAAGATACAAAATTCTGATAGTGGTACATTCTGAGTGGTAGAATTATCAGTATTATTTTCTAGTTTTGCCTAAAAATTTTCTAAATTTCTTAAGAACTTTTTGTTATCCATATTATCAAATATCCATCACCCCAGGAAACTTAACCTTGAGCACAAACTCTACAACAAGTTCAATGTTTGTTCAGTTTAATATTTAAGAGACAACCTATTTTGAAAGACATCTAAAATGATGACCAATATTTAAACCTATGCATTAATATTTTTCAATCATATCCTTCACATTTTGTAATTTTGATAAGGTTAAGCTTTAGATCCATCTTGAAAAGATAAGTTTTCTGTTTGTCTTTAAAATATGACCCACAATATGCCTGTTTTTAAACAGTGAATGATGCTCTAAAATCACAATATAAATTCAGGCAGTGCTCCTTACATGGAAAGTTTAAGTACTTCTAACACTGCTCTTTTTCACTTGTTATGAAAACACAGAACAATTATCTAAGCATCTAATTATTCAGGTCCTTTGTTTCTCCTCCAATCTATTAGTTTTATAGTAATTTTAGGGCCTGTGAGGATGAAGCTGTCTGTGACAGCTACCACAAAGGTTACTATAGGTGGACAAATTTCAAACAAGTTTATCACCACTACCATCCCCACCATAAAACTGTCTCAATCAAGGGCAACACAATTCAATATTAGCCAAGACAACCTCTTTACCTGTCACTGCTTAAGAAAAGGATTTTTGGTCTTATTTAGAAATAACTTTCTGTACCTATTTTTCTCCATAAATCCACTGAGACCAATGTGTGGCTCTATCTCAAGCACCAGCAAGCAAAACTGCCTGCTAGAAGGTTCAGTTTTTGTATCTTTCCAAATGTAGAACACAGCTATCTTCAAGGATTTCATAATTTTTTGAAAATTGATGCACAAACTTCTTGAAAGTTCAGAGACACAGCAGCTGTAATTCTTCTGAAGGCTGGTTATGGGACACATTACCTTCATACTTTGCTGTTTAAGAAATGTGGGGTGGAGAATCAAGTAAACTGATAGAATTTCCATATAAAATTCTAAGTGCTCTGAGAACAAAAGAAACTTAAAATACACACACACACACACACACACACACACACACACACACACACACACACGGTTTTCCCTACTAATCATTTTACAACTAAACAACCAAGTTGCTAAACCAGAGCCCACAAAAGCAGAGTCAAAGTTCTAACACTTGGTAAAAGAAAAATGCACACATACCCCTGTGAGCTAAAAAAAAATGCTTAAGTATTCAAAGACAGCAATTACAGCTACTGAGAACATCACTGTAAGCAAACTGAGGCAGAGAAAACAAACGTGCTGATGAGGATTTGAACCACCTAAGCTGCAGAAACCCACTGGATGGTTTCCTAGGTTCCGAGTTGGCATTATCTTTCAGAACAATCTTCTAGAAGAGATCACATAACACTGTTACAAAGGATCTGGAGAAAGGGACCCTGGCTTCATCACTGTGGCTCTCCAGTCATGCTTTACATTTGGCAGTGACTATCTCCATTCAACTCAATTCCCTAACCCTAAACTAGCTGACATTTATCAAATACTGCCCTTTACCAGGTCTAAGTAAGTTTAACTCCCCCCACCCCCACCAAAAAAAATTCAAGATACTAAGGGATATACTATTCACAAAAGGGAAACCTGTCTCCTCTTCATATACCTGTTCCTTTCAAGGAAGGGTATAAAAATGGGGATGAGGGAGGATAACCACTAGGAATTTGACCCTATATTATAAATTGGTCAGATAAATGAAAATAATTCCTCTGGACTCAAAGTGATATGGCTCTGAAAACGGGAGAAACATCGGGGTCCTTTGTCTCACGCCAGTTAAACGACATGGACACACAGGAGTGGTTTTAAGGAGCAGAAAGTTTAATAGACAAGAAAGAAGAAAGGCTCCCTGCGGTACAGAAAAAGGGGGTCTGAACAGAGAAAAAGCCCCGTGTGTGGCAGAACAGTACTCGGTTATATTGGGAGGCTGGAGGAGGTGGTGTCTGATTTGCACAGGGCCCAGGGCATTGGTTTGACCAGGCAGGTCATTCATGTAGCCCGAGAAAAACGTGGCCCTCCCACCCTAGCCTTTTAATATGCAAATGTAGGTCACCATGTTGTCCTGCACACATGGGGTCATCTGGAGGTGTCACCTTGAGGTGGTGACTAGAAGAAGAGGGTGGGAATCTCCATGTTGAATGGACACAGTTTCTAAGCGCTGGCATTTGCATATCAAAGCTTGGCAGCCTGTAGTCCCAGCTACTCAGGAGGCTGAGGCAGGAGATTCACTTGAACCTGGGAGGCAGAGGCTGCAGTGAGCTGAGATCACACCACTGCACTCCAGCCTGGGTGACAGAGCGAGATTCCGTCTCCAAAAAAAAGATAAAAAGAAAAGAAAAAGAAATGTTTCTGGAGTTGTTTCTATTAAAAGGGAAAGCCTTACTGAGGCCTCCTTACCCTCTCTATCTGCCTAGTATAATTTCTGAATAACTCCTCTATTAAAAGTACCACTGAGGTGCTTAATATGACATTTCTGATATTTCCCAATGCTCCTCCACAAATTCAATTTGGAAAGGTAATCTGTTCCAGGAGGGCAAACCAAAGAAAAAGTCCTAGGCTCCTGAGTCAAGGCTTGTTTCTTTCCTTTGTACAAGCTGACTACTTTTTAATCATAGTAAAAATGAGAAAAATGCAAGATGAAGTTAACAGCATTGCTTTATTTCCCATGAAAAGCTGTTATAAAGCATTCTCAAAATAAACTGTTATTCAGCCACAAATGACACCATCACTTTTTTATTCATAGGGCACAGTATCGCTGCCAAAGAGCTTTCCTCTATATGCTCTCTTGCAGGGCAAAAAATATTATCTATGTTATACAGAAACACAGTAAAAAAAGTGATTTACTTAAGGTCCTAACTACTAAATAAAAGCTAAACTACTCACTTCCTCCTAGATTCAGAGAGAGCTCCAACATTTTCTAAAATTTGGTATCTTGTTGTTGGGGTAGGCACTTTTTGGCAATAATGAATAGACATTTAATTAGCCAATCAAAAAAACTTATTAGGTACAGTAAGTTCCTCTTCAAAGGTTTAACCTGTTCAACTTCCTTGTTCTTTGTTCCTAAGAACAATTTCCCTGTACCTTCTCACCCCTATTTACCTGCTTAGTTATCTGCTCAGTTACCTGCCTTGTAAACAACTCTTCCCATCAGTCCCAACCTGTAACTCACATTCCCTCTCCCTTCCTTATTAGGGAGAATATTCGCGATAGCAAATCAAGTCTGCTTAGATTGTGTAGTCCGACTCCAGCCCATGTGGGAATGACAGAGAGGTAGGGACTGCGTTAGGGATATAAACTCCTGCTCTATCCCGCTCGGTGTGCTCTTGCATTCGTGACTAATGCAAACAGCACTCTTTTGCAGAAGTAAGTTGTCTTGCTGAGAAAACTTTTTTTCCTGAGTGCTGGTTCTTCCTTGCAGCACTGATCATTTGTTTCTTTTTTCTTTCTTTTTTTTTTTTTTTTTTGAGACAGAGTTTCGCTCTGTTGCCCAGGGTGGAGCACAGTGGCTTGATCTCAGCTCACTGCAAGCTCCACCTCCCAGGTTCACGCCATTCTCCTGCCTCAGCCTCCTGAGTAGCTGGGACTACAGGCACCCACCACTGCGCCCAGCTAATTTTTTTGTATTTTTTTTTTTTTAGTAGAGACGGCATTTCACCATGTTAGCCAGGATGGTCTCGATCTCCTGACTTCATGATCCGCCCACCTCGGCCTCCCAAAGTGCTGGGATTACAGGGGCGAGCCACTGCGCCCAGCCTGATCATTTGTTTCTAACAATCTGGGGGCTCGTCCGGAATTCCCATTCTCCTCTGAGAAAAGGGTCTCCAGTCACCAATAGTGAGGAGAAGCATCCCACTGCCTCATTGAGGTGGCCTCATGGTGAGGGATCAGGACCCACCCAGTGTGATGAATAAACCCGGACTCTCAGCAGTCTGGAAAGGAACAGACCAACAACTTAAGAGAAAAGGATCCTCACATACCATGGTGACCAGGTAACTATGTGCACAGACCAACGTAAGAAACATCACAAGAGCGACAAAGTATTTTCTTGGTGGTTGGGATATCTTGGAGATTGAAAGTGTGTGTTGAGACTCACAATTGAGTGCAAAGCAAGTGTTCAGTCCAGATCTGCAGTTCTGTGGTCACCTTATACAGCTTAAGGTAGCCCTTCTGTAAAGGAGTCTGGGTCAGGGGTTTCTACTGAAACAGCCATTGCTAAGAGGAAACCAACGTTCCCGTGAGGGAAGCAGCCAGAGAAGGATGAAGCGAAAGGAGAAAAGTGCAAGAAACCTCCAGCAGGGGGGTTGAGCCTCTAGGAAAGGAAAGGAAAGGAAAGGAAAGGAAAGGTGAGAAATCTCCAGTAGGAGAGGTTGAGCCTTATACAAACCTCTCGTAACTGGGAAGAAATTTCTAGTAGGGGAAATTGAGCCTCACCCCAATCCCTTTTCAAGATGGGAAATACCTCAAGTAATGCAGGGGAGAAAAAGGATAAAGCTAGCAACAATAACATTCCTCCTGATAGTCCCCTAGGGCTTATGCTAAAATATTGGAAAGAGAGTGAAAGGACTAAATACAAGAAAAAGCAGCAAATGATAAAATATTGTTGTTTCATTTGGACTCAGGAATCAATCCTGAAAAGCAAGTCAGAAATTAACTCCTCTGAGAAAGATAAGGTCCCTGTTCCTAGACAGCTCACCAACACATGGAACTTCCTCCACCACCTTCCCCCGTCCAATACCCCTAACCTCCCTCCCCCTCAAGCAGAGGCAGTTGTCCCAGACCCTTCTCCTACCCACATTGTTCCCCCTCTTTATAACCCTGCCTCTTGGGAATTGTCCCAACAGCCTGCTCACTATCACCCTAAGTACTCTTCCCTGAAAGGACTTCAATGTGAGATAGAGCAATGTAAAAGGGATATTCAGAACTTCCCCTTCCCCTCTACCTCGGGAGAATTAGCTCCACCTCTCTTCCCCTGAAGAGAGGTGTCCCTACGAGGAGGAGGTATTCACTTTGTAAATGCTCCTTTAACCAGCTCGGAGGTCCAAAACCTAAAAACAGAGTTCAAGCCACACTATTAGACAACTCCAGTGGAATAGCAGATCGAATTAACCAATTTCTAGGACCACAGTTATATATACTTGGGCTGAGTTAATGTCCATCCTAGGCATCCTTTTCTCAGGGGAAGAAAGAAGCATCATCTGTAGAGCTGCTATGGTAGCCTGGGAACATGAACACCCTCCTGGCCAAAACATTCATGCAGCGGATCAAAAATTCCCCAACCAAGACCCCTGCTGGGACAATAATAACGCAGCCCACTGAAGAGGATACGCAAGAACTTAGGGAAATGATAATAAAAGGGATTCGGGAGTCAGTACTCCGAACCCAAAATCTTACTCGAGCATTCGACATACAACAAAGGAAAGATGAAGGGCCTATCGAACTTTTAGACAGGTTGAAAGAACAAATGAGAAAATATGCTGGCCTAGATTTAGAAGATCCTCTTAGGCAGTGAATGTTAAAGCTTCATTTTGTTACTAACAGCCAGATATCACAAGGAAATTACAAAAGATAGGAAATTGGAAGGACCATCCCACGAACGAGCTTCTTAGAGAAGCTCAGAAAGTGTGTGTAAGGAGGGATGAGGAGAAGCAAAAAGAAAAAATGAAAATTATGTTATCCACCTTCCAACAGGGGGCCCCAAAGGATAAAACACACCAGTATTACTCTCTGTTACCCAGAGACCCACACACTCCCAAACAAAGCCTCCCGAGAGCCAAAACCTATAAAGATCCTAGGCCCCCACTTCCTAAGCCATATAAAGAACATAAGGAGGCAAAGCCGAGAAACCCAAAAATAGAGAGAAGAGACAGAATCAATGCTTCAATTGTGAGAAAGTAGGCCACTTCAAGAGGTATTGTCCCAAATTAAAATCAGAAAGAGAAGTCGTCCCACTTACGACCTTTGAGGAGGAATAGGGGGGTTAGGGGCTCTGTCTCTTTTACCTTGAATCCCACCAAGAGCCCTTGATAAATTTAGAAGTGGAACCCAAATCTGAGCTTATGACCTTTTTAGTAGACTCAGGAGCAGCCTGCTCCTCTGTTTGTTACCTTCCCCCACAATATAACCTGGTCCTCAGAGGAGCTTGTAGTCTCAGGGGTAAAAGGAGAGGGAATCAAACTAAAAATTTTAAAAGAAACAGAAATTAGATGTAAAAACTGCTCAGCTAATGTTGAATTTTTGTTAATTTCAGAGGCAGGAACTAATCTATTAGGAAGAAACTTAATGTTAAAATTAGGTATAGGTTTACGTATTGGCTCAGAAGGATTCTACACTTCATTAAACCTGCTCACCACTGCAGAAGAAACATACATTCATCCTGATGTTTGGGCAAGGGAAGGAAATTGGGGAAAACTCCAAATTCCCCCTATACATATAAAGTTAAAAACCCCTGGAGAAATAGTAAGAAGAAAGCAATATCCTATTCCTTTAGAAGGCAGAATAGGCCTGAAACCTGTAATTGAAAGCCTCATCAAGGATGGGCTCCTTGAACCCTGTATGTCCCCTTATAACACCCCAATACTGCCTGTGAAGAAACCAGATAGGTCATGTCGACTAGCATAAGACCTCTGGGCCATCAACCAGACAGTCTAGACTACCCATCCTGTTGTCCCTAATCCTTAAACCATTCTCAGTAAAATTCCATATGAACATCAATGGTTTACAGTAATAGGTTTAAAAGATGCCTTTTGAGCATGCTCCTTGGATGAGGACAGCTGAGACATTTTTGCTTTCGAATGGGAAGATCCCCATTCTGGATGACAGCAACAGTATCGATAGACAGCTCTACCCCCGGGCTTCACAGATTCCCCTAATCTCTTTGGTCAAATTCTAGAACAAGTGTTAGAACAAGTTTATACCCCAAAATGTATATGTCTGCTCCAGTACGTAGATGACTTATTAATATCCGGTTAGGCTATAGAAAAGGTATCTGCTTTCTCCATCCATATCCTTAACCATTTGTAAGGAGAGGGGCTATGGGTTTCAAAGAGAAAGCTTCAATTCATAGAGCCTGAAGTTAAATACCTAGGACACTTAATAAGTAACGGCAAACGAAGGATAGGGCCTGAGAGGGTTGAAGGGATTGTATCCATACCTTTGCCTAAGACTAAACAAGAACTCAGAAAATTCCTAGGGATAGCCGGATATTGCCGCTTATGGATTGACTCATATGCCCTTGTCATAAAGCCTCTCTACCTAAAAATCACCCAAGAAAAGCCTGACCCTCTCCTCTGGACTTCTGAAGAACTCCACCAGGTTGAGGAGCTAAAACATCTGCTTATAACTGCCTCTGTTTTAGCTTTGCCTTCCCTAGAAAAGCCATTTCACCTTTCTGTTAACATAAATAAGGGGGTAGCTTTAGGGGTCCTTACCCAAGAACACGGAGGTCACCAGCAACCCATGGATCTCCTATCAAAAGTTTTAGATCCAGTAACCTGTGGATGGCCTGAATGTTTCAATCCATTGCAGCTACCGCCTTGTTAACTAAAGAAAGCAGAAAACTAACCTTTGGGGGAAAGTTAGTTGTAAACATGCCCCATCAGGTTAGAGCCATCTTAAATTAAAAGGCAGGAAGGTGGCTTACTGACTTGAGAATTTTAAAGTATGAAGCTATCCTGTTAGAAAGAGATGATTTAACACTAACCACTGATAATTCACTTAACCCAGAGGTTTCCTGACTGGAGATTCAAATCTAAAGAGACCTGAGCATGAGTGTTTAGATTTAATGATCATACAAAAGTTAGGCCTGATTTAAGAGAGACCCCTTACAAAACGGGGCAGGGCTTCTTTATAGATGGCTCTTCCCAAGTAATTGAAGGAAAAAGGCGTAATAGGTACTCAGTAGTAGATGGGGAGGCACTTGAAGAAGTAGAGTCAGGAAGCCTGCCAAATAATTGGTCTGCCCAAACATGTGAATGAATTGTTTGCATTAAATCAAGCCTTAAAGCACTTGCAAAACCAAGAACGGACTATTTATACTGATTCCAAGTATGCCTTTGGGGCAGCTCACACCTTTGGAAAAATTTGGACTGAACGAGATCTTATTAATAGCAAAGGCCAAGACCTGGGCCACAAAGAATTAATCACCCAAGTATTAGATAACCTGCAGCTGCCAGAATAGCTATTGTCCATGTTCCAGGACATCAGAAAGGTCTTTCTTTTCAAAGCGGAAGGAATAACCTAGCAGATCAAATAGCCAAACACACTGCCGTTTCCTCTGAAAATGCCTGTTTTTCACTTAGCCCCTTGCCTTCCTCCCTCGACTGCAGTCCCCATCTTTTCTCCCGCTGAAAAGGAAAAATTAATAAAAATAGGAGCCAAAGAAAATTCAGAAGGGAAATGGGTGTCACCAGACCAAAGAGAAATGTTATCCAAACCCCTCATGAGGGAAATCCTCTTTCATCTGCATCAAGGGACTCATTAGGGACCTCAAGCTAAGTGTGATGCAGTCCTCGGGGTCTACAGATGTATAGGAATTTACATTTTGGCAAGACAAGTTACAGATAGTTGCCTAGTATGTAAGAAGACTAATAAGCAGATCCTCAGAAAACCACCTGTTGGAGGGAGAAATCCAGGATTAAGGCTGTTCCAAATTGTCCAAATTGATTATGCCGAAATGCCCCCAATTGGTCACTTAAAATATTTATTAGTGATAGATCACCTTACTCATTGGGTAGAAGCTATTCCCTTTTCAAGTGCAACTGCTAGTAATGTACTCAAGGCATTAGTTGAAAATATTATACCCAGGTTTGGATTAATAGAAAATGCTGATTCAGACAACAGGACTCATTTCACTGCACATGTTCTTAAGAAACTAGCCCAAGTACTAGATATAACATGGGACTACCATAACCCCTGGCACCCACCTTCATCAGGAAGAGTAGAAAGAATGAATCAGACTCTGAAAAACCACCTAACCAAATTAGTCCTAGAGACTCGGTTGCCATGGACTAAATGCCTCCCCATGGTCTTGTGAAGATTCCAAACTGCCCCTAGGAAAGATGTCGGCTCACCTCCTTATGAAATGCTGTATGAGTTGCCTTATCTACACTCCACTGCTGACATTCCTCGTTCGAAACAAAAGATCTGTTTCTCAAGAACTATATACTTGGTCTATCCTCCACTTTCTCTTTCCTTAGGACTAAAGGCCTCTTGGCACATACACCACCCCTTGAATTTCCAGTTCACCACCACCAGCCCGGACAGTGACCACATTCTCATCAAAGGTCAGAAAGAAAGGAAGCTCAAGCCCACCTGGGAGGGACATTATCTAGTGTTTCTAATGACTGAGACAGCCGTCCACACCACTGAAAAAGAATGGACTCACCATACCTGAGTCAAAAGAGCACCACCCACTCCAGAATCATGGACAGCTATTTCAGGGCCAATTCCAACCAAGTTAAAGCTAAAACGGGTTTGATCCTCTTATGCTATATTTCTTTTCCCCTTCTATTGCTAGTCCTCTCGTTATTAATGTAACTAGGTCGAGCTCACCCCAAACTATTACCTTTGATGCTTGCCTTGTTATATCCTGTGGAGCTCTCCAAAGTCAAAAGCAACTCTCAGCCTCAGAGAAGTATCTCCGTCCCTTTCAGACAAAAGCCTCCCCCATTACGACTCTTGTTCCTTAAGAAATGTAGGGAAACAGGCCTGCCACAGCTGGAATGATATTATGTGGACAACTGAACATCAGGGCTTTGTCAACAGGCAGTTGTAAGTCTCTAAAACCATGTTTGCTTTGTTAAAGGAAACATTCCCCACCCCCTGACTGCCAGTATAACCAATGTAATCCAGTGCAAATTTCTATTCTTATCCCCACTTCTGCCAACCCTAAACCTACTTTAAGTCGCTTATACGGCATAGGAGCCAAAATAGCAGGGACACATCTTATAGAATCCTTTGAAATGCATTTCATTACTTTCTCACCTCCTCCACCTCCTTCTACACTCTCTCTCAACGAAACCGCTGTTCTTCCTTCAACCAAGGATAAAATCAAGGTAAGCCATTGTAGAAGTTAAAAATTTGAAACAAACCATAGCAACTGAGACAGGGTACCAAGATGCAAATGCTTGGTTAGAATGGATTAAATATTCTGTCCGCACTCTAAACAAAAGCAACTGTTACACTTGTGCGCACAGTAGGCCAGAGGCCCAGGTTGTCCCCTTTCCACTCGGATGGTCTTCCAGCCAACTGGGCATGAGCTGTATGGTAGCTCTTCTCCAAGACCCCACAGCCTGGGGTAATGAATCTTGCCAAGCTCTCTCTCTGCTATTCCCTAAAGTCCAACACCCTGCAGGTCAGTCCCTGAGGGCCATCCAGCCTCCATCTATTGACACCAATTTTTACCTCGGGTCTCTCACAACAAGGGGAAAACTTGGCATTTCATGAAGACCTAAAGGGATGCGGTGAACTTAAACTCTCCCAAGAGCTTACCAGTCAGTCTGCCCTTGTTCATCCTCGAGCATACGTATGGTGGTATTGTGGTGGACCCTTACTGGACACTCTGCCAAGTAACTGGAGTGGTACTTGTGCTCTAGTCCAACTGGCCATCCCTTTCACCCTAGCATTCCATTAACATAATAGAAGAGAAAATCAGAAGAGAAGAAGTGACCTTCATGGGTCCTTTGACTCCCACGTTTATAAAGATGCTACTGGAGTTCCACGAGGGGTACCAGATAAATTTAAGGCCCGAAATCAAACAGCTTCAGGATTTGAATCTGTGCTGTTTTGGTGGTCAACTGTAAATAAAAATGTAGATCGGATAAACTACATTTATTACAACCAACAAAGGTTTGTTAACTACACAAGACATGCCATTAAGGGAACAGCCTCCCAATTAGGTCCCATTAACTAAATAGTCTGGGAAAACAGGATAGCCCTAGATACGATGCTAGCAGAAAAAGGTGGTGTCTGTGTCATGATTGGAGTCCAATGATGTACTTTTATTCCTAATAACACAGCCCCTGACGGAACAGTAACAAAAGCTTTGCAGGACCTAACCTCCTTATCCAATGAGTTAGCAAGCAATTCTGGAATAAATGATCCCTTTACAAGTTTAATGGAGAAATGGTCTGGAAAATGGAAAGGCTTAATGTCCTCAATATTTACTTCTCTTGCAATCGTTATAGGTGTGCTTATTCTTGTTGGATGCTGTATCATACCATACATTTGTGGACTACTGCAAAGACTCATAGACACAGAACTTACCAAAACCTCTCTTAGCTCTCCTCCACCCTATTCAGATAAGCTTTTCCTTCTAGAAAACCAAGCAGAACAGCAAAGCAAAGACATGCTAAAAAAGTTTGAAGAGGAAGAATTACAAAAATTAAGAGGGGGGAATTGTTAGGTACAGTAAGTTCCTCTTCAAAGGTTTAACTTGTTCAACTTCCTTGTTCTCTGTTCCTAAGAACAATTTCCCTGTACCTTCTCGACCCTACTTACCAGCTTAGTTACCTGCTTAGTAACCTGCCTTGTAAACAACTCTTCCTACCAGCCCCAATCTGTAACTCACATTCCCCCTCCCTTTCTTATTAGAGAAAATATTCACAATATCCAGCTGAGTCAGCTAAGATTGTGCAGTCCTACCCCAGCCCATGTTGGAATGACACAGAGGTAGGGAGTGCATTAGGGATAAGAACCCCTGCTCCACCCCGTTTGGTGTGCTCTTGCAATCATGACTAATGCAAGCAGCATACTTGCAGAAGCAAATTGTCTTGCTGAGAAAACTTTTTTGCCTGAGTGCTGCTTCTTCCTCACAGCACCAATCATTTGTTTCTAACAATCTCGCTAAAAGCAGCCTAGAAAGCAGCCACTTATGCAGAAAGAGTAATAATTTATGCTCTACAAGTCATATAAAAAATGAAGTTTCATTTGTTTACCGGCTAATTTACTTCCTGGGAGACATTTTTCATTCTAAAACAGTGATTCCCTACCAAGAGTTCATAGATGCCAAGAAGTCCATAAAAGGCGTAATGGAATTGCCAAATTATGTTAAATACTTCAAAAGGACTCAAAGCCATATACTAGTTCCCAATAGGCCTGCACAAGTTATTAGAACAAGCTGCTTTGCATTCTTGTGTGATCAGAACCAGTAACTAGATGGCAATCAGGTCTGTTACTGAAGATGGAAAAACTATACTTAAGTTTGTATAACAATCTTTCATAACATGGCTTCACAGAAAAGAAGTATAAAAAGGATTCCTTGGTTGAAAAAGAGTGCTCTTTTCCCTTCATTATTTAAGATTAGGACAAATTTATAAAACAGGAAAAAAATAGCACAAATCCCTTGGCAAACAGAGTAAAACATCTACTCTGTTTTGCTTTTTTTCACTTCTTACACTCTCTTTCATAGGAAGTCAATTTACAGACTTCCATCAAGCCCTTAGAGACCTTTTTGTACTATCCATGACAAGCTCTTGATGTTATCTCTGCACTTTTGACAAATTCTTAGCAGTTAACTTACAAGGCAGTTAAGATTTTTGTTCAAGCACAATATAGCTAGAATAGGCTCATACATTCAATAAAACAAATATTTACCAAGCATTTATTGAGTGGAAGATAAAAAGCACAAAGCATAATTATAAAATATTTTCCCCTGCCACCATAAAAAAATTAAACAGGCTTACAGAATACAGTGTAAGAAAACATGACCAAAGCAAAAATAGTAAGGACTAAAGAAGGGAGGAAGGGGAAATATCAACATGGACTGAATATGACCCAAAAGAGCCTTGATGGATGGTCAGACATGTAAAGGCAAATTGGTTAGGGTTAAGGGGTGGAGGTCAGGGCACGTTCTATAGGGAAACGGCAGCTGATACAGAAGCCTGAAAGGAAAAGCGGGCAGAGCACCTGGACAGGACTCTTCAGGAACGAGCACGCACGTGCGTGAAAAACAACTTAGTGAGGTACCGTTCACCCAAACATTAGAGAAACCGCGTAAAAATGCTTCTTGGTAAGCATGAAGAAGGCAGGGCTCGCCCTGTAGAAGAACTCAATAAACATTTGAACTGTCTAAAGAGTAAAAGTTAATGAATAGGCCAAACTCACTCCTTTCTTTGTTTTAAGAGCTACAACTTTAGAGAATAACAAATCACAAACCCAGTAGACAGGTCCTGGCATTTCAAATCCAACCCCATTTTTCCCTTAATCTTTCCCCTCTGAGCAAATGGTATCGACATGAACAAGCCATGTTGATTTGATCAAGACACTCATCCATGGTTAAAAGAGTCTTTACTTTCAAGAGATACAAACAGAAATATTTACATGGGCTAATTTACTGGGCAACAAGAGAGAAACTCCGTCTCAAAAAAAAAAAAGGAAATAAAAGCATACAAAGTGAAAACAAAGAAATTAAACTGCCCTTATTTGCCAGTGACATTACTGTCTATGCACAAAATTCCAAAAATCTACAAAAAAGCTTCTAGTACTAAAAATGAGTTTAGCAAGGTTGTAGAATCCAAGGTCAGCATATAACATAAAATCACCTTCCTATATACTAGCAATCACCAACTGGAAATTGAGAAGTATCATTCACAACAGTACCACAAACATGAAATAAATGTGTAAGATTACAAAATACAAGCAAGATCCAACTGCTAAAAACTACAAAACACTGACAAAAAATCTAAGAAGGTCTAAATAAATAGATATACCATGTTCATGGCTCATTATTAAAATGTCAGTTGCCTCCTAACTGATTTCCAGTTTCAATGCAATGTCAATCAAAAACCCCAGCAGGCTCTCACGCCTGTAAGCCCTACACTTTGGGAGACCATGGTGGGAGGATTGCTTCATCCCGGGAGTTTGAGACCAGGCTGGGCAACATAGAGAGACCCTGTCTCTACAAAAATAAAAAAATTAGCCAGGCATGGCGGTGCATGCATGTGATCCCAGCTACTTGGGAGGCTGAGGTGGGATAATCGCTTGGTTCAAGGCTGCAGTGAGCAGTGATCCTGCCACTGCGTTTCAGCCTGGGCAACTGAGTGGGACACTTTTTTTTTTTTTTTTGAGACAAGGTCTCGCTCTGTCGACCAGGCTGGAGTGAAGTGGTGCAATCTCGGCTCACTGCAACCTCCATCTCCTGGGTTCAAGTGATTCTCCTGCCTCAGCCTCCCAAGTAGCTGGGATTACAGGTGCCCGCCACCATGCCCAGCTAATTTTTCTGTTTTTAGTAGAAACGGGGTTTCACCATGTTGGCCAGGCTGGTCTTGAACTCCTGAACTCAAGTGATCCACCCGCCTCGGCCTCCCAAAGTGCTGGGATTACAGGCATGAGCCACCGCACCAGGCCATGAAACACTTTCTTCCACCCACGGCTTTCTCTTCTCTCCCCATTTACAGCAATAAGACAGCCTAACCTGGGAAAGAGAGAGAGAGGGAAGCTACTTCCAAATGGATGCCTGTCCCCATCAGTAATAACCAAGTCTATTCAAGTGCTAGATGTTAACTTTAAAAGAAGGAAGCATCAAAAGTCCAAGATTCACCCGGGTGCAGTGGTCCCACTCACGGGGGTACCAGCACTTTAGGAGGCTGAGGTGGGTGGATCACGAGGTCAGGAGTTCAAGACCAGCCTGGTCAATATGGTGAAACCCCGTCTCTACTAAAAATACAAAAATTAGTCAGGCATGGTGGCGTGTGCCTGTAGTCCCAGCTACTCGGGAGAGGCAGAAGATTCGCTTCAACCGGGGAAGCAGAGGTTGCAGTGAGCCAAGATCGTGCTACTGCACTCCAGCCTGGGTGACAGAGCGAGACTCCGTCTCAAAAAAAAAAAAAAGTCCAAGTGTCTTCGCCTAGCTTTGTCAGGAATGTTTTTACCCTCAGTCTGTAAGTGTGACCAAATATATTTTTTAAAGGTTTACCCTCTCAATCTGTTAAGTTCAAAGGTTAACTATAATCTCTTCATAAGAAAACTATTGGAAAGATGGAATAAAATACACAGAAATGTCCTTAACAGGTAAATATTTATTTTTCTTTCTTATTATTATACTTTAAGTTCTGGGGTATATGTGCAGAACGTGCAGGTTTGTTGCATAGGTACACACGTGCCATGGTGGTTTGCTGCACCCATCAACTCGTCATCTACACTAGGTATTTCTCCTAATGCTATCCCTCCCCTAGCCCCCCAACCCCCAACAGGCCCCAGTGTGTGATGTTCCCCACTCCCTGTGTCCATGTGTTCTCACTGTTCAACTCCCACTACAGGTAAATATTTCTAGAATGTATCTACTCCATCAGCTAGTGTAAGTATTCTAAACTGTGCTAGTATAGCTGCTTTAAATCACTGCTTTCTTCTGCAAATGGTGGCACCTTTAAAGTGTTATCTTGAAGGGGAAGTGAGTGATTTGCTCATGTCTCTGCTGAACTAACACTGTTAACACCCAGTCCAGTTCTACCTTAAACAAGTCTGAGAAATACAGACATAATCCATACTTGTTATTTGTCAAGACTAAGGTAAAATAAGGAAAGTTGGAACTCACTCATATCCTCTTATGACTGATGTACTGAAAACAATCCATCTCTCACCATTTCCTAAATAGCATAGTCACAAAGAGCTCTACCCTACCAAGTACTCTGCAAGTCCCACTCTCAAAGGAAGACTCACAGGTGACTGAGAAGATAAATTTGCTATTGTTTCCATTATCCTTCAGTTCATCTGACACCTTTGAAGAAACGCATTTGGATAAGACTCACAAGTCTCAGGGCCCCTTCTTTATGAAAGAAATAGCTAAGCCTCCATACTCAGAAGCATCAGACTTTTCAGAATGCTTAAGTCATGTAAAAACGTATCAAAATTATTATCATTACAGCTACCAGGAAATAGCTACCTACTCCATGTTAGATACTGCAGTTAAGTATCTCACACAGTTTCACTGATTCCTAACAACACTGCAAAGCATGTTACTAACCCTTAAGGAGTAGGAAGCTGAAGCTCTGAGAGGCTATGCAACTACTCAATGGAAATGTGGGGATCTGAACTCTACCTAGCTCCAAAGGGCGTACTTTTTTCTAAAATTTCTAATTTTTTTCCAATTTCACAATGGAGGCAGAGTTTTCACTACAATTTTAATAATTTCACCAGCTGGGTGGGGTGGCTCACGCCTGTAATTCCAGTACTGTGGGAGGCTGAGGTGGGAGGACGGCTTGGGTCCCAGGAAGACAACTGGGCAACAGTGAAGATTCTGACTCTAAAAAAAATAAGAATTTCACCAAAAGGGGGAACAGATTTCTAAATCGGAATCTCTTGTTAAAATCCTTAGAGCACTAGTTAAGCCCCACTTCTTTTCAAAAAATAACCGACAGATTAAAAAAAAGGTTAGAAGTCCTTTTAAAGTAAATTTCATCAGAGATCTGCAAGTGAATTGTCATTTTGGACAAGTCCCCAGAGTTGGTGGCCCTCTCCTGTGTACACCAGCTACCACTAGGCAGTAAAAGTAATTTACCCAATTCAAACACATACCGTGCCTGCACTATGTTAAAACCACTGGCAAAGAGGGTACAAAGTTAAATAAGGTCTATCACAGCCCTCAAGGAGTTAAAGGACTAGAGGAGGAGTCCATTTATAGTATAGTATGTGTGCAGTTACCATTTAGTCAAGGCAAACAAACTGTGAGAAATCCTACAACAATAGTACCTACAGTATAACATGCCATCACCGCCCACAGAAGGAAAGCAACTGGTGCCCTCGTCACGTTATGTTGTTAGTACTTGCTTACATGATGTCCCTCCCTGACAATCCCTTCCAACCTCTGTCAGCCTCCTTCCCCACAATCACACACACACACAAAACCACACTGCCAGGAAGGGAAGCCATTGAGTGAGTATTGTGAATCCTACAAGTGGCTCTGTAGTTTAAAAGGGCAATGCCTGTGCCTGAAGAAAATTTGTCTTTAGCTTCATCAGGTGAAGAAAATTGGTTTTATAACACAAGGCCCACCAAACCAGAAAAGCCCAGGAACGCTTCTCCAAAGGACTCACTTAGCACGAGAAATCACTCAGAGCAAACTGACGCACACAGTATTTGTCAAATTTTTCTTTTTCATTTAGCAGAAGGTAAGGTAAAGGACTACAACTGAAGTTAATAAATGACACTCTAGCCATTTTGATCATTTGTCACTATAAATGATAGACATTTAAGCTAGTTCCATCTGGGGAAGTGAAACAGAATCATGTTCATATAATAAGCCAGACGAACCAAATTCAGTGGAATACGTGCACCCAAAACTGGACCAGACTTGTACTTAATGCAGCCTGCAAATCCCCAAGAGTCCACGACAGAATACAAGAACAGTAACACTGGTTTATCTCAACTCATCTTAGCTCCCTCACAAACTTGCCAATAATGACCTTTCAAGAACTGCACCGTTGGTCCTCATCTGGGCAATCCCGTGGCTTAGAAAAACTGAATAAAGTGCTTCTTCGAAAAATAAAACAATGCGGGGAGGGGGGAGTAGTAACAAAAAAAAAAGGCACACTGGTTTTTACTGTACTGAAGCAATAAATTCTCCAACTAACTTCATTAATGAGTATCAGCAAAGAATGAACACCAAAATACCGCTCAATCCAACTTTCATCGTGAATTCTTGAATTCACAGTAGGATCATTAAATGTGACGGTATCACTCTGCTATAAAAACTATTTCCAAAACAAAACAAACCTATCTACCCCCTTTCTTGATTTAAAAAAAAAAAAAAAGAAGAAAGAAGGAAAATTTGAGGGTTTTTGCTTTTTTCAACTTCACATACCGGTTTGCCTTTGCAAAAAAAAAAAAAAAAAATGTTTAGTCTCAAAGTATAGCTGCAAGGTGGACCGGCTGCACGGGTCCCAGAGGGCCGCTCGCCTCCGACGGTCGCAGTTTCAGCCGGGCCGCGCCCGCGAGAAACAGCGGAGAGGCCCCAGCAGGCGGGCGCCGCCGGACAGGTTTACCGTCCGCGTCGGCCCCGGGGAACCGCTCCCTCGCGCCCGCAGCACTTGTTCGCGGCGCGGACTCCACACCGCGGCCGCCCGCCCCAGGGGAGGAGTGAGTCCGCCCCAGCGGCGCCAACCCGGGGACCCGGGGCAAGGGTTCGGGGCCATCCGCCGCCGGGCGCGCCCCCCATCCGGAAAGCGGCGACGGCCCCCAAGTTGGGCTGCGGAGTGGGAGGCGCGCCGAGCCCCAAGCAGACAATGCGGGAGAAGGGTGATGCGCAGGGAGGAGGGGTCCGCAAAGCTGAGGTCCCCGCGCCGCCCGGCTACCCATCCGTGCCGCCCGCCCCTGAAGCCCCGCGCAGCCCCCGACCCTCCTCTGGGGCCCGCCCCACCGAGCGGCCGCAGGGGACGGGCCGCGCTCCGCACCCCGACCCCTCCTCAAATCACAAAACTTCCCCCAACTCCGCCAACTAAGTTGCGCTCTCACCGTGCGGCTCCCGGGGCTCCCCCGCGGGCCGAGCCGAGACAGCTCCTCACCTTCGCCGCGGAGAAAGACAATAGGCTGCCTCTCCCCCGGCGGCGGCAGCAGCGGCTGCGGCTAAAGCGGCGGCAACCGAGGCGAGCAATGGGCACGGCGGTCTCGGCCGAGCCGAGGGGCTTCACCGCTGCTGTTCCGGCTCCGCGACAGCTCTGCACGTAGCCCCAGCCACCCCGCGCACCGGCTACAAGCCGCCCGGGGGTGGCCGGGGCACGCAAGAGGGCAGTAACGTCTGCGAGTCCTCCCGTGAGTACACGCGGAGCAAGGGCTGCGAGCTGGGATTGCACGGCAGAGCTGCCCATCCCGCTCCACGAGACCAATAGTAAGGCACCTGGGCGGGGCGCTCAGGTTGCTAAGGGAGGCTGAGGTTGACCGCCGGGGCTGCTCTGTGGCAAAGTGATCACAGCAGGGTGGCTGGCAGAGACTGCTCTGGGAAATGCCCACTCACGGTCTCCTCTCCGCCCTGTTTCTAGAAACTGCCCTTTCTCTGTGTGCTCGTGGTTACCTGAGCTGTAGCATTTAACCACACATCGTGAAATGATTTACTCCTCTATTTCCCCCACTTCAACTCAGGAAGTGGGGTTTAGTCTTCTGTGTCCACAGCCTAGGACAGTCTAAGGTATTAGGTATTAAATATAGGTATTAAACAAGTGTTGGATGGATGCACGGCGCTATGGCGGAATCACAATTGTGACAGTGCATTCCGTGAACTTTTGGCTACTCGATCACCACAGTCGTTCCGTGTTCAAGCTGCAAAGGACCTCAGAAATCATCGGATTGCTTTGAGAAACAAAATGTGGTCCGTGTACCAACGGCGGCCGAGGAGAATATATTAGCTGGTACACGGAGAAACTTCTTTTTTCAAATAGTTAAGTGTTTTAGTGCTCATTAGGAGGGAAATGCCTATCACGTCAAATCATTGTTTCATTAATGTTACTTCTTAGGTCAAATAAAAAGTGGCAAAAAACAAGTGTATTTCAAGAAAAGTGTTAAGTGAAACTTGAGACACTTTATATGCAGTTCAAGAATGTAAAATACTAGTTGACAGTGATTGAAGTAAGAACAGTTGGTTAGGTAGGAGGAGAAGATTATTGGCTGGGAAGGAGGAGGAGGGAACCCTCTGTGGTGCTGATTCTGTATTTTGACCTGGGTGATGGATAACAAAAGTATGTACATCAATAAAAAATACATCCAGTGCACTTTAGATTAGTGCACTTTACACATTTTATACATGTATTTTTAATGTCAATTTTTAAAAAATCTGGTATGGTATATACCCCCACAACCCCCCCCCCAAAAAAATGCAAAGATGCAAATGACTGCCATTTGGGAAACACTGATCCAGGCAGGCTCACTAGCAGTGACCAAACACCTGAGAAAGGGTATTGTGAATACCTGATGTATGTGCCAGGAACTTCCATGGTTGAATAGCTCCAAATCTCAGAAATGCTCCTAACCTAGTGTTGAGCTCTGGTGCATAGATATATTTTCTTTTCTTTCTTTCTTTTTTTTTTTTTTTTTTTGAGGCAGAGTTTCACTCTTGTTGCCCAGGCTGGAGTGCAATGGCACGATATCAGCTCACTGCAACCTCCGCCTCCCAGGTTCAAGCGATTCTCCTGCCTCAGCTGCCCGAGTAGCTGGAATTACAGGCACATGCCACCAATTCCAGCTAATTTTTTGTATTTTTAGTAGAGACAGGGTTTCACCATGTTGGCCAGGCTGGTCTCAAACTCCTGACTTCAGGTGATCCACCCACCTCGGCCTCCCAAAGTGCTGGGATTACAGGCTTACAGGTGTGAGCCTCAGCATCCAACCCAGAATAGCTTAAAAAAAAAAAAAAGCCAGGCATGCCCAGTTCTTCATGTGAAATTATTTCTGTATCACCTCATCATGCTGCTCACCCTCTTCCACTGTTCTCTAATTTGTCCTTGTTGATATTTAAAAGCTGGCACAAGGCCGGGCGCAGTGGCTCACACCTGTAATCCCAGCACTTTGGGAGGCTGAGGAGGGTAGATCACTAGAGCCCAGGAGTTCGAGACCAGCCTGGGCTACAGGTGAAACCCCATCTGTACTAAAAGATACAAAAATTAGCCAAACGTGGTAGCCCAAATCCCAGCTACTTGGGAGACCGATGTAGAAGGATCACTTGAGCCCAGGAGGAGAGGTTGCATGAGCCAAATCAGCAGGGCAGCTGCAGAGTGGGGTGCAAGGTCCTCAACCCAGAGGTTCCCTAGGCCCCACTTGCCCCAGCTCATGAGAGCCTGGTTCTGAGCTCTGCCAGGACCGGGGCTCAGCACTGCCCATGAAAACAGGCGTGGCAGGGAAGAAAATCATAACCAAATATTTGTAGTCATTCCAGAACCTCCCTTCTGGAAAGGGAGGTTCCCAGGTTTGTGGGCTCTTTGCCTCCTGGACATTATTGTGTAGTGAAGGGAGAAAGGTTGAGATGCAGAGTTGGAGAAACTAAGAGAGGCCGAACTGGTCCATTTGAGGAAAGATGACTGATCCCAGAAGGGGAGGAGGGGACACCCTGGGGAAGCAGGGGGCTTCCCAGATGGTCCAAGAAGGGGAGGGCAGGATATAGAAAGTCAGAGCATGGTTTTGAGTTTTGGAGACAACAAGAGAAAAGAGGGAGGGATTTGGACAACTATGGAGAGGACTGGGCTGTGGAGAGAAATGTTTAGAGATTTGGAAGATGGTGTGTCATGCGATGTATTGTGAAAACCCCTTCTTCATATCCCTAAAAGACCACCGCTGATGGTGATTCATGGTACAATTGATGATTGTATCATGATATAATTCAGTGCTTTTGCAGAGGGATTGGTGCCTTTTTAAAATAATAATGATGCTTTGGCTTGGCTCCATCTGAATTAGTAGAGACAGACATCTTGAGCAGGTTTTATCAGAGTTCCATTAGCTAAATATTGGGTTTCCTATTTTGTGGCTTGCTTTAAACCACTTTGTAGGCCCTTCCGCACTGAAAGCCACTACAGAAATCACCTCTTTGGTCTGCAGCTCCACGTCCCCAAGCTCTGGGCTTTCCTGAATGAGTGGCCTCATTCAGAAGATAATACAGCATCCCTCATCCGAAAATCCAAAATCTGAAATGCTTCAAAATCCAAAACTGTTTGAGTGCCGACATGATGTTCGAAGGCCAGATTCAAAGGAAATGCTCATTGGAGCATTTTGGATTTCAGATTTTCGAATTCCAAAATCTGAAAAAAATCCAAAATCTGAAATACTTCTGTAATTTAACCTGTAATAGACATTTGGTCCTGACCTTCCAGCTGAGGCAGCAAGCAGTCAACAGAGGCTCACCATGCATCCCTCCTGCTCCTCACCCTCCCACGGGCTTGTGCCTCACCCCCCAGCCTCCCTTGCACCTGCTGGGGAGGGGACAGGATGCTCCTGCTCTGCCTTCTTGGATCTCGGGCTACTGTGATAATTGCAGGATTCCAGCCAGGGAAAATGCTACAGGTAGAAGTACTTGGTACTCTCCATAGAGAAGTTTCCAGCAATGGCACATCTGCCCCAGGAAGTGTGCTGCCACACCCAGCTAATTTTAAAAACTTTCTGTAGAGGTGTGAATTCACTATGCTGCCAAGGCTGGTCTTGAATTCCTGGCTTCAAGTAATCCTCCCACCTTTGCTTGCCAAAGTGCTGGGATTACGGCATGAACTAGAGCTCCCAGCCGAGAGTTTAGTTTTGTTTGCTAGTGGTGTTCTTGGTATCTTTTCATATTTGAGGCTTTGGTGCTAGTGCTGAAGTATTACACTCACCATCCGAGGTTTGCAGGACTTTTGTTTCAGTATTGAACAGATGGAACTGTTTAGTTCTTCATCTTTGCAGGTATACCAAATGTGCCTACCAGGAGTCTGCTTTATAGCCATTGAAAAGCAAGAAGTAATATAGTAAAATTTTGCCTGGCTAGAGGCTTTGGAAGACAAGTATTTTGGCTTAATTCTATTAACGTGGAAGGATGAAGGTGAAAAAAATTCAAAACTTTAATATCCTGTTTATTGCAATTTGAAAATATAGCCAATGATTCCACTTTTCTTCTCCAGTAAGTTTGGACATTCTGATCTACTTGGTGTTTTATTACAGAACTGCTAGTGTGCCTGAGTCTTACATTGTGAAGATCCTTCTCTAAAACTTCACATGTAAGAGAATATAAATGATATTGGATAAGATCAGGCTGGATGAGAACTGATACCTGTAAATATGCGATTTAGACGAAATCTCTGATTGTTTTCTTATTTAACTCATAAAAATAAAACACATTGGCTGGAAGGTGGGAGCAGGAAGGAGATTTATGTCTTTTAATTGCACGTCATTGTTTCATATAGAGAAAACATATAGTATCCCTGGTTTTGGACCTACAGAAGGAAACACATTTTTCTACCTGCTGTATGCCAGAGGTTCTTGAACACCTGGAGGGATTACTGCAGCACAGATTGCTGAGCCCTACTCCAGAGTTTCTGATTCATCAGGTCCAGGGTGGGGCCGGAGGATGTGTATTTATAAGAAGTTCCCAGGTGCTGCTGGAGCTGCTAGTCCAGAGACTACATTTTTGAGAACTGCTCTCATATACTAACTGTAAGTTGCAGAGCTCTAGAAAAAAAGCTTAGTTTGGTGTGGGATAAGAAGCACACAGGTTATGGAGAAAATCATGAAAGATTCAACCCTTGATCCCAGCCTAGTGTGGATTTCAGGTAACAAGCAATACACAGTGACATAACAAATTCTTGGTTTTCATGACTGCAAGTGAGAGCCAAGTATCAAGTGAGAAATTCAGCTTCATTTGCAAGGCTTAGAGAGGCCAGGTGATTCTAGAAAAATGGGCCTTGTAATTCTCTTAAACCAGTAAAGAGCTTTAAGTGGTTATTAAATTGAAAGCTTTGTGTTCTTACTTATTTTGTATTTTATTTTATTTCTTTTGAGATGGAGTCTTGCTCTGTCGCCCAGGCTGGAGTGCAGTGGCGTGAGCTTGGCTCACTGCAACCTCCATCTCCTGGGTTCAAGTGATTCTCCTGCCTCAGCCTCCCAAATAGCTGGGATTACAGGCACCCGCAACCACGCCTGGCTAGTTTTTGTATTTTTAGTAGAGACAGGGTTTCATCATGTTGGCCAGGCTGGTCTCGAACTCCTGACCTCAGGCAATCCACCCACCTCGGCCTCCCAAAGTGATGGCATTACAGGCGTGAGCCACTGCACCCGGCCCAAAAGCTTTGTGTTTTTAAAGATATTAGACATGTTTCTTGTTTTTAAAAGAAATCTTAACAATAATGTAGGAGAATAAGACAAACATTTTTCCAAAAAAGAGAAATTGTTGTGATTATTTTGTCTTATTGGAATGTCGGATACTATAGTCGGCTTCATTAATCATCAAGCATGCTATGGATTTTCCATTTTTATAGGATCTATATCTCAGTTAAGGTAATACTGGTAATTCTTGTACTCCATTTGAAGATGAAAAATATAGGCCAAAATCACAGACTTTGCACAGAAGCTGCATAATGAAGACAGCTCTGGAGGAACACATAGATACACACACACAGACACACATATATATAAAGTATATACACATATATTTTTTAAAGTTTATTTTTTACAGTTTTAAAAGTTTTAAAGCAAAACCCAGCCCTTCCCCTCTCCCAGAGTGGGCGGCCCCTCCCCTTTCTCTGAGTGGGCGGGGACAGCGGTTGCATGGGCAGCTTTCCTTATGATGCCACAGGTCCCTCTGGACATGCTGCTGCCTGGCCACGCCTCCTTTCCCTTTCATCTTTCTCACTGACCAATGGGCTTGGAGCATTAAGGCCACGCCCCTATTCTGCGTTCCATTGGTGCCCTGGTTACGCCACCTGTGGCTCAGTTGCACAGCTGCCTGGTAGGTGACTGGAGGCATTGAGCAGTGCTCACTGGTATTTCGCTGATGTGGCCCCAACCCCGCCTCCCTCCCCACCCCGCGATGTCAGAAAAAACACAACAGGGGAAATTGGCCGCAGCCAAGAAAAAGGTAAAACACACCAGGTCATGGCCCCCAACCCAGCCACAGATCCCCTCCGATGACAAGACCTGTGCCAGAGTCCATACCACTCCTGAGGCATACCAGATGGGGCCCCCCAACCCCAGCCCCTCTGGGCTCCCCCAACCAAAGCCTAGTCAGTCAGCCCCACCCCTTCAGCAAGCAGCCCAGTCCCTGCCCTTGCCAATCACCCCAGGGTGACTTTGGGCAGGTGACTCCTGGGGCTCCCTGCTCCATAATCAGCTCTCACCTCCTGCCACCCCAAGCCCAACCTCCCTGGGCTCTTTGGGCTTGCGTCTCCCAGGACCTGGGTCCCCCAGCCCCAGGCCCTGCCCTCACCAGTCATCCCTGGGTGGCTTTGGGCTGGTGACTCCCGGGGCTCCCTACTGCAGACTCTGCCCTCCCCTCCTGCTGCCCCAAGCTCGACCTCCCTAGGCTTCTTGGGCTGGCGTCTCTGAGGACCTGGGTCGAAACCGTGTGTTTCCCTCCCCCATCGTGGAGCAGCGACTCGGGCATCGCGCTGATGTGGTCCCCTCCCCTGGGAGGAGTGGAATGCAATGATGTCACAGTGCCCCTAGGAACTGTCATTACTGCTGCAAGACCGGCCTTTGATCTTACAACCCAGTCCCCTAAGTTTTCTCACCCCATTTCTGGTTCCTCTGGTTGCAGCACAAATTTCCAGCTGGAAGGGGAGTGGAGACTATGGGACCTAGGAGCAAGAGGTTTCAGGCTGCCTTACTCCCTTAACATAGACATTGACAGTGGGAAAAGCCTACACTTCCCCTGTGAGCTCAAAATGTTCACAGTATCTCTGGGTGGCAATGGGAGAATGGGTTTGGTTTGGTTTTTTCCCAGGCTTCTACTTTCCAGAGAGACTTTAACATTTTTTTCTGAGTTCTCCACGGTTCTGGGACCAGACTGCCCTTCAGTCAGTGGCCTCTGAAGTGAGATTTGCTCATCTTCTGTGGAATAGATCTTGGGAAACTGAACTTGACAGCTTGAATCTTCCTCATATCGTCTCAACCTGGGGTACTTTGAGTGCCACAGGATAAATGTGGGACATCTTTCTGAAGCATCATTTCCCCTTGATTCTCTTGAGAAAATGCATTAATGTACTTAGGGATGACAGACACATAGGTTTCCAAGCGTATACCAGACTTCGCTCTGAAATGAGGCTTGGGTTGTCCTCTTTCTGATAAATTCCCAGATTTAATAGAAAAGCTGCCTTCTGCCATGAGGACACATTGATATGAAAGTGTGAGAGGTACTGGTACGCTTCTTCACGCTAGCAGACCTGTGAGGATGTATGACTCTAAACCACACGGCCTACAGTTCCTGCCTGCTTAATGTTTACTTTTCTACCTCTGCCCCTGGTTTTGGTCCCTGGAAGCTGCTGATTCATGGCAAAACCCCAGAGCTTGGAGTCAGAGGACTGAGTTTAAGTTCCAGTATTGCCTTTTTTGATCTTTCTTTTTTTTTTTTTTCTATCCATGATATCAATCCCTCTCAGTCACTAAGTGATTGTGACAACACCTTGTACAGTTGTTGGTGGCATTACATCAGATGGTATATAAGGGTATTTTGTCAAAACTGTAAAGGAGGATGTGGCTGTAGGGGCTGATCATTCTCATGAGTGTTACCGCTCTTCTTTCCCACAGTTAAAAGCATATTGGCAGAGGAAGAGCCCTGGCATTCCAGCAGGAGCTAACAGGAAAAAGAAAATCAATGGCAGTAGCCCTGACACAGCCACTTCTGGTGGTTACCACTCACCTGGGGATGTGAGTCTCGGCGGGCCAGGCTCCTGGGGACAGGGGGCCCAAGGGGCAGTAGAGGGTAATTGTTAAGATTGTAGATGGACTGTTGGGTACTGGTTAAGAATTCTGGATTTGAATCCTGCCTCTCCATCTGCTAAGAATTGATTAGGGATTGATTAGCATATGATTTAGGGCAAGTTGCTTGAGGTCTTTGGGCCTCTCTTTTCACATCTGTATAATAGAGGTGGTATTTTTTGACTTCCATTTGTGAAGTTTAAATGAGATTCGTTATTGTTGCTTTTATGTGAATCCTTAGTACATGGCCTGCTGCAAACACCCAGGACACCGAGGAAATGGTCGTTGCTGTTTGATTTTCCTCATCCCCAGTCTCAAGGGGAAGCCAGGCCAATGAGAAGAGCCACTTGCCATCAGGCTGTCCCTTTAGGAGTCACTGAAAGGGCCCCAGGGTGGGATGGTGGGGAGATAAGAACCACGAGAGAAGTTGGCACAAAGGAGTTATGGGAAAAAGGGTCCAAGATAGGCAGAAAAGAAGCTTTTGCCAGTTGATGGGGGAAGAAAGGAAGTCAGAGGGCTTAGACAGTGAGGGGGGACAGAACATCTCCATGTGCACTCTCATCTCTTGCAGTCAGCAACAGGTATCTACGGGGAGGGCCGTGCATCCTCTACTACCCTGGAGGATCTGGAGGTAAGAGGCCCTGGGCCGAGGTGCAGTGACCCTGCAGGCCAGCCCTCCAACCTCCTCCCACAGCAGGGGCTTGTTGCCCCTCTGCCAGCTGAGGCAGCCCACACACCCCCACCAGCCCTAATGATTATTCTCTCTACCCCTCCCCACAATCTTCCTCCAACTCCTTCTCTCTGCATGCACCTCAGAGCCAGTACCAAGAACTAGCAGTGGCCCTGGATTCAAGCTCCGCAATAATCAGTCAACTCACTGAAAACATCAATTCACTGGTAAGAGTCCAGTGGGGTCCCCTGATTACAGCTGGTCAATCCTGGACTCCAGTTTCCTCTTGGGGCCCTGAAGAAAGGAGCTAGGGGCCCCTGATGCCAAGGGCAAATGGGGAGCTGGGCACCCAGGTCTCACCTGGAGGGACCCCAGAGCACAGAACATGCAGCATGGGTCTTCTGCACTGCCCTCTTTGCTGACTCTCTCTTCTCCAGACACCCCTGCTCTAGTCCTTGCCACACATGCCCTGGGGTTGTCACCTCTCTGGGAAGCACTAGCCTGACTGGTTGTCAGGGGTCCATATTTCTGCCCTGCCTCAGTCCCTAATTTGCTTTTTGAGTCTGGACAAGCCATCTCTCCTCTTTATGCTCGTGTTTCTGGAGGAGGTAGAGAGTATCAAAGGTCTCGGTTAGCTCTGAAAGTCAGAGATTTAAAGGCCCCTAGAATGGAAACCTCAGGGCCAAGGGCTCCTGTCTGTCCTTTGCTGTTTTATATCTCTGCTATGAAGAACTGTACCTGGCCTGTACATGCTCAGTAAATGTTTGTTGAATGAATGCACGTTTCTAAATCACAAACTGGCAGAAGGGGGGTGGGCCCTTCTCAAACTCTGTCTCTGGAGGTTCACCAGCCCCTCCCTCCAGGGCCCTTTTCCCCCTTTGCTTTGGGCAGGTTCGCACATCTAAGGAGGAGAAGAAGCATGAGATACATCTGGTACAGAAGCTTGGGAGGAGCTTGTTCAAACTCAAAAACCAGACGGGTAAGATGGGGCTGGCATGACCTGGCAGCTGGACTGGCATTAGAGGGCTGTGGGGGTGACTTAGAATGCCCCAGGGAGGTGGGTGGATGGAAGGGCTTTGAGGCAGAGGGAAAGAGGTCTGTGCCAGGGGAGGACAAGTCTTGTCATCTCCATGAGCCTCAGTGTCCCCATCAGTAAAGAGGGAGGAGTGCCCATTGTCAGCCACCCACAGTGCTCTCTATCTGAAAGTGACTTGGAAGACTGGCTACCATCCGGGTGTGAGGAGTCATTAGCAGTGAGGCCAAGTTTGGGAAGCCTGAGAGGAGTTGAGGAGAGGCTACTTGAACAGGAGGAGAGGCTGTGTGAACAGGAGGAGAGGCTACGTGAACAGGAGGAGAGGCTGTGTGAACAGGAGAAGCTGCCAGGGCAGGAGAGGCTGCTGGAAGAGGTGGAGAAGCTGTTAGAACAGGAGAGGCGGCAGGAGGAGCAGGAGAGGCTGCTGGAGAGGGAGAGGCTGCTGGAAGAGGTGGAGAAGCTGTTAGAACAGGAGAGGCAGCAGGAGGAGCAGGAGAGGCTGCTGGAGAGGGAGAGGCTGCTGGAAGAGGTGGAGAAGCTGTTAGAACAGGAGAGGCGGCAGGAGGAGCAGGAGAGGCTGCTGGAGAGGGAGAGGCTGCTGGACGAGGTGGAGGAGCTCCTGGACGAGGTGGAGGAGCTCCTGGAGCAGGAGAGGCTTCGGCAACAGGATGAGAGGCTGTGGCAGCAGGAGACTCTGCAGGAGCTGGAGAGGCTGCGGGAGCTGGAGAGGCTGCGGGAGCTGGAGAGGATGCTGGAGCTGGGGTGGGAAGCCCTGTACGAGCAGCGGGCCGAGCCACGCAGCGGCTTCGAGGAGCTGGTGCGTTGCCCCACCTGGGGAGGCTGCCCTCTTCCCTAGCCCTCAAGGCCTTTGTTTCCCCACCTGTAAAATGGGGCATTGTAGCCTTCACATGAAATGGTACTTCTAAAGGCATCTGTGAGCCAGAGCCCCGCTCTGATGGCTGTGGGAGAGAGGGGATATTTTTCTAACCTGCCTCCACCCTTCCCGGTGCCATGGGAGGCAGACACTAAGTTCTGGGGTCTCCAGTTTTAGTGGGTGGCCACTGATTGCTTCTCTCTGTCCAGAACAACGAGAACAAGAGCACACTGCAGTTGGAGCAGCAAGTAAAGGAGCTGAAGAAGTCGGGTGAGCTGAAAGAGACTGTAACCTCCGACCCATCCAAGAAGATGTGGGAGGCGGGCACCAGCCTCTGGGGAGGGGAGGTGCCAGGCCACAGGCAGCTGCAGCCTGGGGACAGGTGACCCCAGCACCCTCCGGGGCAGTCCTATGACTGTTTCTTGCTTCCTGCCCTCTGACTTTTAGAGGTGGGTAGCCCTGGGGTCCTCCCAGGTCTGGACATCATCATCCCAGCTAGAGGCATGGAGCCCCCCAATCACAGAGGAAGAGACAGTGGTATAAGAGGCTCCTTATGTCGGGTGTGGTGGCTCACGCCTGCAATCCCAGCACTTTGGGAGGCTGAGGCAGGACAATCACTTGAGGTCAGGAGTTTGAGACCAACATGGCCAACATGGTGAAAGCTCATCTCTACTAAAATTAAAAAAAAAATAATAATTAGCCGGGCCTGGTGGTGCATGCCTGTAATCCCAGCTACTCAGGAGGCTGAGACACGAGAATCACTTGAGCCCGGGAGATGAAGGTTGCAGTGAGCTGAGATTGCACCACTGCACTGCAGCCTGGGACACAGAGTGACACTCTCTCAAAACAAAACAAAACAGACAAACAAAAAAGACTCCTTAGATTCAAACTGGATTCCGGCCTCGGTTCCACTGGTCATAATTCAACTACTTTGCATCTCTAAGTCTCTGTTTCTTTAACTTCAAAAGGAAGTTAGCCTTTTCCTTGCAGAGGTGCTGAGGATTAAATGAGATAATACGTGGAAACATTAGGCATGTAGCACACTTAGCAGATGGTGGTTGGCTCCGCCTGCTTTTCCACCAGTCTGTGGCCTACAGTTTAAATGCTGGGAAAAAGGACGTGAGATTTGATGCTAGGGAAGGAGGCATGGGGTTCTAGGCAAGGGAGACAGTCTCTTAGGCCTGGAGCAAGGGGCCAGGGGCCTGGGCAGGCCACAGAGCCCCACAGTGTCCTCGCTACCCTATTAATGGGCCAGGAATCTGGAAGCCAGCCACCACATGTCCTCATGCCCAGGGTCTTCCGGCAGGTGGAGCTGAAGAGCCAAGAGGCTCCGAGTCTGCAGCAGCAGCCAGACCAGTAGCTGGAGCCCCAGTCCCACAAGGAGCTTGGATGTGCGGACAAGCAGGGTGGTGAGTAGAGCCCTCAGGCGGGGTGGGCAGGCAGGAGCAGGGGAGGCTCGCACTGTGCCCAGATTCCCACCCCCCTCCCTCTCTCTGAAGATCTTAGTGGGCTGAGCCTCACTGATAGCATGGAGGCTGCACCGGGAGAGGACAGGGAGGGTTCTCCCCCATGACAACCCCACTGCACAGCAGATCCAGCAGCTGCTTCCTCTAATGCAGGACTCCCCAGGAGCACCCAGGCTTGAGTGGAGAAGCTGTTGGTACAGGAGAGGCGGCAGGAGGAGCAGGAGAGGCTGCATGCCATTCTTTTCGGGCTGCGGAGAACAGGGAGCTAAACATCACCATCATCTAAGAGCGGGTCAAGGAATTGAAAAAAAAAAACAAAACATTTAAGGGGTTAATATCCTACACAATTCATTTACTTCATTTGAATGTTAGAGCCACTTATGTTTATTTGTGTTTCTAATTTATAGTTTAAATTTATTTGTGTTTCTAATTTATAGTTTAAATTTATTTGTGTTTCTAATTTATAGTTTAAATTTATTTGTGTTTCTAATTTATAATTTAAATTTATTTGTAAAAAGTTAAATGAGAGTGGGTGTTTCTCTCATGTTCACTCTGGCATCTTTTAGCATTTTTTTAATTTGATAATTATAGGACGTTAGCATGCATATCGAGTTTGCCCTTATGTGGTGGGAGTTCAAACACACAAAGACCCACTGTATGCACACAACTGTTCTTGCTGGTTTGGGATAGGCTGCCATGCTTTTTTAATGTTAGTACAGCCTGTATATTCATTACGGAATTCAGATAAAATTTCCTTATGTTCTGCTGTTATGTTTGATCGAATCCTAATCACAGTGAGCTCTTCATTAGCTCAATATGCAGTTTGCCCTCAAGTGCGCGGTCTATTACTTTGTAATATGCCACTGTGAGTACTGACATTTACAGTTGTTTAAAGGTGGAGCACTGGAAACAGCCTTTCCCCCTTTTTCTGTGTATTGGGGATGGGAGTAATAACATTTTGGGGAGGTTTTTAAATCTCCCAGAAGAGGAAAGTGGCCTGCTTTGGCAGGTGTGTGCAGGATAGAATATGTTTCATTTGTTCCGGTGCCAAGAATGAGCGCTGTACTACGGTAGTTCCCTTAGGATTTGTATGTGCTCTGGGCTCATGAAGATACTGCCTCATGAGCTGTGGCAGTTGTACTCTTTTTTGATGACCTGAAAAGGGATTATTTCTGAGGAATGAAAGGCTCCCATCATGACTGTGGATGTGGAAAACCTTTTCTAGCTGAGAGCATTTATATCTACAATACATTTTAAAGTCAGAGTTCATGTTCCCTGTTTTAATCACATGACTACATGTCCCAGTACACAAAAGGGCACTGGTTGGCGTTCTCCTTAATGTATTTAGTAAAGATCAGAAGAAATCCTTTAAGAGTTTAAATGCCCCTGGAACAGGCATATACAGGCTCTAGTCAAGAATGAATTCGAGTGAAGGAAAGCTGTGTGACACCTGGCATTCCTCTGTGTTCATGGAGCTTATTTGAGGCTAGAAGATGGATTTTACCATCTAGACCTCTCTGGCTAATAGCTAGTCTTCAACCATCTGACATAGGAATTTACTTCTTTTCCTTGAATGGAGAACACTTTAAAAATAATAACAAACATTATTATAAACTAATATATGTGAGAGTACTTAGTTGAAACAAAAAGGAGTTTTAGTAGACAGTATTATACTACATTTGAAAATCAAGGAGCAGTTTATGCAACGTAAAATGTTTACAAACTGCAGCGCAATCTACTGTTTGTGACTGTCAAAGTGTCATGAGGAAAGTGTCTATACAATCACAGAGTTATATTTCCTCACAAAGTTCTTTACGAAGAGTGAAATATGTTTTTATACCTCTCAGTTTCAGTTAGAGGCATATTTTGTGTAATATTTATGGCTTAAAATGGACTAAAGGTCCTGTTCTTGCCTTTTCTGAACTTGCCGCTTTTGCATTCTTTGAGTTCAGTTTAAAGACACTTACTTTAACTCCATTTTAAACCCTCGGGCTAGAAATCGTACCACTGTTAATTAGCCACGTTATTTGGTCTAACAGTTTTTGTTTATCATTCTGAAACTGAGCTTATCTAATACATTGATAAATTATTTCAAAGGTATTTTTATAGTTCAAATCGCTTCACTTTTACCCTGACACGTATAAATGAATAGGAATGACCTTCAGATAGCGTTTAGCAACTGTAACCAATCTGACAATAATGTGTTCATCAGGTACCTGTGGATTAAATCACATACTGGCATATTTAAGATGAATGTCAGTCTGAAAAATAAATATACTATATTAATTCAAATACGACTCTTTGTGTAGGTATTTTGTCATATGTTTAAGAAAAAGCTAAAGAGAATGGAAATCCTATGACAATAACTCAAGTCTTTCTTCAAAGTGCATGCAGTCTTTTGCAGTACCTCATTCAGCCAAGTATTTGTTCTCTACCTCATTCAGTATAAGGCAGCCTTTAATTTGCTTAGAAGGCAACATTAGAAGGTTAGAGTTCAGCAGGAACATAGAATTTTAAAATGTGACTTCAACTGAATAAATTTGAATTTCTCTAGGGAGTAAAGAATCAAAACACCTATTTAAAGACTGCAAAATATGATAATTATTTTTAAAGTAATTGATTAAACCTGGTAGGTTTTCCCAAAATGAAAAACAATCAGTTCTAAAACCAAAGCTGATTTTTAGAAAATGTGAAAATGTAAATCAACCCTATCCATAATAGATTCTCTAAAACTTTATCTTACAGTCACTTTCAAATAACTATTCAAAAATGTAACTGCTATATTAACGTCTTAAAATAATTTAAAACATTTTAAAATATGAATACTGTAGTTTAAAACAAAGAATCTAGGGGAAGGAAAAGTAGACAAAGAAATGCCAATTCCAGTCCAAAGCTGTATTTGCCAAGTTTTCTTAGAATGACTTTTACCGATTTATGAATTCTTATAAACAGAATGCATAATGGAAATACTGATTTTTGTCTAAAGTGGCATTATTGACTGCTGCTGTGATGCTACTGTAATGTAATACATTATTAAATTGTTTCAAGGTGCTGTTTTGCCTAAAAATTTTGTGTGTCTTGAAAACTATAGTATTGGGTATTGAGACTCTGCAAATTCTCGGCATGCTTGGCATGAGGTAATCGGTTTTTATTCTTACAAAATTGTAACTATGTAAGTGTGTTTATTAAAAGAACACAAACTAAAAAAGTTAACAGGAATTAAAGTTGTGGGATGAAAAAGTTACAGGATAAAAAAATACTGTGGAAAAGTGGCAAAAAAAAGTTGTGGAAAAAAAGTAAAAAAAAAGTTTTATGAAAAGTTATTTTAAAAAGTTATGAAAAATTAGTTACAGGATTTAAAAAAAGTCATGGGATAAAAATAAAAATAAATAAAAGCAGGCCCCTGTCAGCATAAGCCTGGAGAAGTGGGTCTGGAGTCTTCACCCCCACCATGTCCCTACAACCCCTCCCCAGTCAGCCCTTTACCATTAGGGTAGCAAGACAAGACCCTTGTCTAATGGAGGGAGACAAACAGACCCTTTACCACCTTGACCAAGGCTGAGTCCTTACATTTCTGGATGATGATGTTTGTTATTTAAGAGCCAGAGGTTGGTGGAGTTGGTTTGTTTGGAGGAGGTCTGACGGCCTTCTTACTCTCACCAAAGCAACTTTTCCCTCAGGGGGGCTCCCATCTTCTTACTCAGAGAGGCAGCTGAGGCGGGACAGTGGAGTTAACTGTAGACCAGGCCAGGGCACAGGCTGCTGGGGGTGGCCCCCCTTCCCCCGTGTACATACTGTAGCTGTGTAACATTCTGTATCGTACCTAGCGGAGGTTGCAGCTGGCATATGAGGAAGAGGTTCTTATAATTATTCGCGGCTGGGAAACTTATTTATTGCTAGCATAGGAGCGAGGAAGGAGGCGGGGATGGGGTCATGGCTCCCTGGTGACGGGACTCCTGTTTTTGGTTTGTTGTTGTTTTGCTTTTGATTTTGGAATAAATGGATTTAGCCATACTGCTCGGCCTGTTATGTTCCCGTTTCCCTCACTGGGTCCTGCAGTTTTTCCCACTCAACGAGGAGCCCCAGAGTGTTTCAGCATGTCCAGCTGGGCTGTGGGGAATCTTCCAGGCCTGTTACCTGTATGCTGCCTGGTGACACCTGGTGGATTTCACGGGGACTGCCATGGCACCTACGGAGTACAGTCCGGCCCTGACAGTCAACAGGTTGAGAAGCCTGATCTAGCTGTGGCAGGGAAGACAGATACCAGTGCCCAAGGGCACTGACTTCCATCCACCCCAGGTGTCTTCCGTTCCATCCCCCTTCTCCCGTTCCTGTCTGCATCAGGTGGCCTGTCTGTCCCTCCAGAGTGCCGGCTGCCCCACAGGCTCCTTCCAGGCTGAGTTCAGGGCCCTGTCCCCTAGTGGCCAGAGCCGGCTTCACAGGATAAGAGCCAGCTGAGCTCCAGGGACTTTCCAGGAAAAGTGTCCCTTGAAAAGGGTGTGACCTTTTCACTGTTCCCAACAACACCCTAAAAATGGCTTGGCCTTTTCCCTCCCCTGAGCTCCATAGAGAACACAGCCAGCAGAGGACACATTCTCTGTCATCCAGAAATGGGTTTCTCAGCCGAGGGACAGCAGGACTGGTAGAGACTGTCAGGCCACACAGCTGCCTGCACAGCACCGCCATGCTTGGCCAGAAGGGCGGGAGGGATGGCGGGGGCTGGCTGTCCACAGGCCGCGCATGTCCCGGAAGCTCACTGGAGGTGGTGCACTTTGGAGGGGCGATGTCAGGAGACAGCTTCCTCTTGCTGGGCTACAAGACTCCACAAGCACAGCACGGGGACTGATTCCCAGTGCTAGAGGTGAGGCAGTCGGCCACGTGTATATATGTATATATGTGTGTGTGTGTGTGTGTGTGTGTGTGTTTGTGTATGTGTGTGTGAGAATTTATAGCTATTTATAGAACAGGGCAGGGGCATACCACAGAGGAGGCACAAGTTTTCAGCAACGGTCACACCTGGACGTGTCAGCTCACCACTACAACAGACTAAGTCACAGATGAAGGGGGCTGGCTTTGGGGCTGGGGGAGCCACTGTCAAGTCACAGGACACCCGCCCAGGCAGGCTTGGAAAGGGAGGTCTCTGGGAAGAGGGATCTGTTTAGACGTCGAAGTGGGGCCTGGGGCTCTCAGGACGGGATGGACTTGCCTGACCCGATCAGCTGGCAGTTGGAGAGAAAGCAGAGAGAAAACGGGTTAGAGAAAAGCCAGAGCTGGTGAGGCAAGTGCAGAGTATGGGTGCGCTGCAGCAGCTGTGGAGGGCCGGGGAGGGGAGGGCGTAGGTGTGGGCATGGCAAGGTTCCTGGAAAAGAGGGGCTGGAAGGAAAAGGGGAGGGAGATGGAGGGAGAAGCCGGAGCTTCATAGGTAGTGCCTGGGGACTGCGGCGGCCCTCCCCACCCCACACACGCTGGCCTGTCTCATGGAACCCAGGCAATCCACCCATCCACCCACAGTTCAGACCAATGCCAGCTCCCTCGGGCTTCCCTCTTCTGTGGTCCCCATGTCTTCCAACCCACTGGCCCAGGGCCACCTCTTGCTTGGAGAGCCCCATCCAACAGCCACCAGGCCTGATAGAGAAGGAACACTGCCTGAACCAAAATGGTGGAGCTATAAGGGATGGCTGGCTGGAGTGGTCGCCAGAGGCCCCTCTGGGCCATCAGAAAACCCAGGGTCCTCTGAGGGACCCTAGGGAAGGCAGGGAGGGCAGGTAGCCAGATGGCACTGGCCATAGACATATAAGTCTAAGAGGGGAGCCTCAACTGGTTGGCGGGGGGCTGCAGGTTGCATAGGTGAGGCTGGGCCTTTCCTGCTGGGAAAAGCAGAAGAGGAAGGCTAACTTTTGTGTTGTTTAGTAGAGAGTGGGTTTCACCATGGTGGCCAGGCTGGTCTCAAACTCCTGACCTCAAATGACCCATCTCTGCCTCCCAAAGTTCTGGGATTACAGGCCTGAGCCACCGCGCCCGGATCCAAGGCCCTTAAGCTTAAATGCCTCGTTCTTCAGTCAGGTTTTCCTTGTTCCCGCATGTTCAGCCAATCGTGTTTAAGGAGAAACTAACAATGAAAACGGACTCGTTGATGGAGGAAAAGTTGGAATGCAGCCTCTGGTGCTGTTTGAGCGATCCCTCTACCCCGGGTCGCTGCTGTGTTCTGGAAAGGCGCATTGTACCCTGGATGCGGCAGGTAAGAGTCCTGTCCAGGTGCTCTGCCCGCTTTTTCTTTCAGGCTTCTGTATCATCTATTTTTCCCCTGTAGAATGTGCCCCTGACAGCCACCCCCTAACCCTACCCAATTTGTCTTTACGTGTCTGACCATCAAGGCTCTTCTGGGTCATATTTAATTCATGCTGATATTTCCCCTTCCTCCCCTCTTTAGTCCTCACTATTTTTGCTTTGGTCATGTTATGCCTTATTCTATAAGGCTTTAAAAAATTTTTTTATGGTGGCAGGGGAGAATATAATTATGCTTTGTGCTTTTTATCTTCCACTCAATAAATGCTTGGTAAATATTTGTTTTATTGAACGTATGAGCCTATTCTAGCTATATTGTGCTTGAACAAAAATCTTAACTGCCTTGTAAGTTAACTGCTAAGAATTTGTCAGAAGTGCAGACATAACATCAAGAACTTGTCATGGATAGTACAAAAAGGTCTCTAAGGGCTTGATGGAGGCCTGTAAATTGACTTCCTATGAAAGAGAGTGTAAGAAGTGAAAATGTAAAGCATGACTGGAGAGCCAGAGTGATGAAGCCAGGGTCCCTTTCTCCAGATCCTTTGTAACAGTGTTATGTGATCTCTTCTAGAAGATCGTTCTGAAAGATAATGCCAACTCGGAACCTAGGAAACCACCTAGTGGGTTTCTGCAGCTTAGGTGTTTCAAATCCTCATCAGCACGTTTGTTTTCTCTGCCTCAGTTTGCTTACAATGATGTTCTCAGTAGCTATAACTGCTGTCTGTCTTTGAATACTTAAGCATTTTTTTTAGATGACAGGGATATATGTGCATTTTTATTTTACCAAGTGTTAGAATTTTGACTCTGCTTTTGTGGGCTCTGGGTTAGCTACGTGGTTGTTGTAAAATGATTAGCAGGGAAAACCGTGTGTGTGTGTGTGTGTGTGTGTGTGTGTGTGTGTGTGTGTGTGTGTGTGTGTATTTTAAGTTTCTTTTGTTGTCATAGGACTTCGAATTTTATTTTATATGGTAATTCTGTCAATTTACTTTATTCTCCACCCCACATTTATCGAACAGCAAAGTATGAAAGTAATGTGTCCCATAAGCAGCCTTCAGAAGAATTACAACTGCTGTATATCTGAAATTCTTTTTTTTATTTTTTATTTTGAGATGGAGTCTCACTCTATCACCCAGGCCAGAGTACAGTGGTGCGATCTTGCCTCACTGGAACCTCTGCTGCCCAGGTTCAAGCAATTCTCCTGCCTCAGCCTCCTGAGTAGCTGGGATTACAGGCACCTGCCACCGCACCTGGCTAATTTTTGCAGTTTTAGTAGGGACAGGTTTCACCATGTTGGCCAGGCTGGTCTTGAATTCCTGACCTCGTGATCTGCCTACATCGGCCTCCCAAAGTGCTGGGATTACAGGCGTGAGCTACCGCGCCCGGCTGAACTTTCAATAAGAAGTTTGTGCGTCAGTTTTCAAAAAATTATGATATCAAAAGATAGCTGTGCCCTACATTTGGAAAGATACAAAAACTGAACATACTAGCAGGCAGTTTTGCTTGCTGGTGCTTGAGATAGGGGCACACATTGGTCTCAGTGGAATTATGGAGAAAAATAGATACAGAAAGTTATTTCTAAATAAGACCAAAACATCCTTTTCTTAAGCAGTGACAGGTAAAGAGGTTGTCTTGGCTAACCTTGAATTGTGTTGCCCTTGATTGAGACAGTTTTATGGTGGGGATGGTAGTGGTGATAAACTTGCTGGAAATTTGTCTGCTGATGGTAACCTTTGTGGTAGCTGTCACAGACAACTTCATCCTCACGGGCCTTGAAATTAGTATAAAACTAACAGAATGGAGGAGAAACAAAGGACCTGAATAATCAGATGCTTAGATAATTGTTCTGTGTTTTCATAATCGGTGAAGAAGAACAGTGTTAGGAACACTTAAACATTCCATGGAAGGAACACTGCCTGAATTTATATTGTGATTTTTGAGCATCATTCACTGTTTAAAAACAGGCATATTATAGGTAATATTTTAAAGACAAATAGAAAACTTATCTTTTCAAGATGGATCTAAAACTTAAACTTATCAAAATTACAAAATATAAAGCATACTATTGAAAAATATTAATGCATAGGTTTAAATATTGGTCATCATTTTAGATGTCTTTCAAAATAGATTGTTTCTTAAATATTAAACTGAAAACATTGAACATGTTGTAGAGTTTGTGCTCAAGGTTAAGTTTCCTGGGGTGATGGATATTTTATAATATGGATAACAAAAACTTCTTAAGAAATTTAGAAAATTTTTAGGCAAAACTAGAACATAATACCAATAATTCTACCACTCAGAATGTACCACTGTCAGAATTTTGTATCTTTCCCATCATCTGCTCATCTCTTTTCTCCTTTGCTTGTGTGTGTTCCCTCTCCCTTAAAAAATCAGATTTTTTTTGTAACCTGCTTTTTCACTCAACAATATTGTAGATCCGTGTCATAAGTTACTCATCTACAGTGCCTTCAGTTATTGTGTGCTTTGTGTTGGATGACTATACCATCTAGTCATTCGCGTTTTCTGGTACTGAATACATAGGAGTGAGTGAGTGAGTGTTTGTGTTTGTGTGTGTGTGTTTTCTACCTTAACTAATGCTTTAGACATCAATAGGTAGAGCTAAATCCTTGAAACCTTCCCTGTGGTCGCTTTCAGTTCTCATTGCTGAATTGGTTTCTAGAGATGGAACAAATTATATTGTATGGAAAAAAACATTTTTTTGAGACGAAGTCTCACTCTTGTCACCCAGGCTGGAGTGCAATGGCATGATCTTGGCTCACTAAAACCTCCGCCTCCCAGGTTCAAGTGATTCTCCTGCCTCAGCCTCCTGAGTAGTTGGGATTACAGGTGGCTGCCACCATGCCTGGCTAATTGTTCTATTTTTAGTAGAGATGGGGTTTCACCATGTTGGCCAGGCTGTTCTGGAACTCCTGACCTCGGGTGATCCACTCACCTTGGCCTCCCAAAGTGCTGGGATTGCAGGCATGAGCCACCACACCCAGCCTTTTTTTCTTCTAGGTACCAGCTTTTATTTATCAGATTGGTAAAAATGTCAGAAAGTGTGCAATGAAATGGGCATTCTCACAGTCATGGCAGAAAGTATAATTAACTTTGACTTTCTAGAAAGCAGTCTGGCATTCTAGAAACTTGCCTAACCTCTTCCCATTTAGGCAAGATGAATTCTGACTATCCCTAGGTGGCCAATCTTGTCCCTGTGATTCCATATCTCCCAGAAAGAGAGGTCTAGTCTCAGGGAAAACCCAGATTTTCTTGGCTTAGCCCACCTGAGAGCTAATCACTGGAAATGAGGTGGGCGGGTAGAGTCCTTTGGTCAGGTTTTGTGTCAAGAGCGGGATGTGGAAAGATGGGAGAGAGGTAGCAAAACTGGCCTCAATAGAACTGTGTAAGTTAACATAGAATGGCAAAGGAATGTTTCTTCCAAGGAAGAAATTCTAGGGAAGGAAGAAAGTGGAGGGGAAGGCAGCAGTTCTCAAAGTTTTGGGGTCAGGATTCCTTTACACTCTTAAAAGTATATTGAGGGCCCAAGGAGCTTTTCTGTATATAGGTTATATCTATTGGTATTTATCACTAGAAATTAAATCAGACATATTTAGAATATTCTTTAAAAGCTCACCAAATTTTGTTATAAATGCTTTTATGAAAAGAAAATTTCTAAACCCAAAGTAGTACAATCTTACACCTTTTGCAAATTTCGTTGATGTTTGATACGTCATTTGCATTTCCATTCAATTTATTGTGTGATATTTGCTTGAAAAAATGTGAACAAAGGCCAATCTGATACAGATAGCCATTTTAGATCATTATGGATATTTCTTTTTTTTTTTTTTTTTTTTTTTTTGAGATTGGGTCTTTCTCTGTCTCCCAGGCTGGAATGCAGTAGTATGATCACGGCTCACTGGAGCCTCATTCTCTGGGGACTCAGGTGATCCTCCCACCTCAGCCTCCAGAGTAGCTGGGACTACAGATGTGTACTACCCCACCTAGCTAATTGTTTGTATTTTTTGTAGAGACAGAGTTTTGCCATGTTGCCTTGGCTTCTTTTTTGATACTCCATCAAAAATTGATTTTTCTTGAACTTTGGATCTTTTACCCTTGCATGGTATTATAACATCATGCATTGTTCAGTTCAGTTCAAAAATAATGGTTCACTGAGATCTTCTATATGTTGATACATTTGATTGTACAATATCAAAATACACTCATCAATATCACCATCAGTCTCATCAGAATACTTTTGGAAAGCGATGGTGGATATAAGTTTTCTAAAATTCTAATTTTTTGTTCAAAAGCTTGAGTTTTAGTATTAGCAATTGTATTGTTGAAATTTATTATGGCCTGTCTGTTGTTTTCCTTGAAATAACAGAATCTCCTTTTTTGAGAAAATGTCTCCCAAAACCCAAGCTGAAATAACATTTTTTGTCAGCCATCTTTTGGAATAAAAATGATATTCCATTAAAGTGGTTAATTCACTTCATGACTTAGTCTCATGAGGGTTTTTTCTCTGACAGTCTGTAGGTGTGCTCATGTATACTTCCCATTTCATCACTTGAAATATTAAAAAGATATATTCAAGGATTAAGATGTAAATTTTTCACTGCTTCATCATAGACATTGTTTTTATTTTTGAGACGGCCTTGTTCTGTCACCCAGGCTGGAGTGCAGTAGCATGATCACAGCTCACTGTAGCCTCAACCTTCTGGGCTCAATCAATCCTCCTGCCTCAGCCTGCCAAGTAGCTGGGACTGCAGTCATGCAACCACCATGTCCAGCTAATTTTTGTATTTTTAGTAGAGACGGGCTTTCACCGTGTTGGCCAGGCTGCTCTCAAACTCTTGACCTCAGGTGATCTGCCCGCCTTGGCCTTCCAAAGTGCTGGGATTACAGGCGTGAGACACCATGCCCGGCCCTCCCTTCCTTTTTACACCTTTAAACCTTTCCCGTGCACAGTAGTCATACCATGACTACTAGTAGTTTGGTGTTACTGCCTTTATTTATGCTAAAGTACCAGCATTTTTACCCACCATTGCATCTGCACCCTTACAGCAAATGTCACCATGTTAGTATTCCTGTCAAAACAGTTTGGACCTGGGGGTCTGAGGGCTGCACTTTGGGAACCACTGAAATAGGTACTTAAACCTACTATATATCATATCTTTTCATCTACAAGATTTTTAAAAACTTGATTTCAGTTAATGTTTTTGTAGTTTTTAAAATATGGTTTTGAGGGGTTTCAGTCCAGAGCAGCAACATGTATTCTACTTTGCTTATGCTGAAGTTTACTAGACAAATACTAACCTAATAGAATGAGGTCGTAAATCTAGTTGCATTTTCTTTAGCCAAAAAAAAAACCCAAACTAAAAATTTAAAAATGGTCCATATGGTGTATTCCCAATGTATGCTGAAGAATTTGAAGAAGAAAATGCAATAGTCAGTAAGTGGTATTCTTTAAGAATAGCATTGGGCCAGGCACGGTGGCTCACACCTGTAATCCCAGCACTTTGGGAGGCTGAGGCAGGTGGATCAGGAGATCAGGAGATCGAGACCACCCTGGCTAACACAGTGAAACCCCGTCTCTACTAAAAAACAAAAAATAAGCCGGACGTGGTGGCAGGTGCCTATAGTCCCAGCTACTCTGGAGGCTAATGCAGGAGAATGGCATGAACCCAGGAGGTGGAGCTTGCCGTGATCTGAGATCGTGCCACTGCATCCAGCCTGGGTGACAGAGCGAGACTCTGTCTCAAAAACAAAACGAAACAAAAAGAATAGGATTCATTCTGAAGAGTTTCTTTTAGCCTGTAAAAAGATTTGGGACACTGTAAGAGAGGAATGAGAAGAATGAGAATAGTGAAATAAATCATTATTGAAGAGATAGACTGTTAATGATGTCCTCCTTCAATACAACTTGTTTTTCTTTTCCTTTTTATTTTATTTACTTATTTTTTTTTTTTTTTGAGATGGAGTCTTGCTCTGTCACCAGGCTGGAGTGCAGTGGCGCATCTCAGCTCACTGAAACCTCTGCCTCCCGGGTTCAAGCGATTCCGCTGCCTCAGCCTCTTGAGTGGCTGGGACTATAGGCATGAGCCACCATGCCTGGCTAGTTGTTTTTATTTTGGTAGAGACAGGGTTTCACCATGTTAGCCAGGATGTCTCAATCTCCTGCCTCGTGATCCACCCACCTTAGTCTCCCAAAGTGCCCAGATTGCAGGCGTGAGCCACCGCACCCGGCCAACTTGTTTTTCTGGTTTTCCGTGGTTTTCATGGTTTTCTGGTTTTCTTGGTTTTCCTTGACTTGAACCTAGTTCTTCTGAAGCTAATATATAATAACAATTGCTTTTCGCCAATTTCTAATAGAAGACAGTACAATGCAACAGAGTAAATGTCTATTAGTGGGTGAAAGTGCATAATGCTTAGTTCATTAGCTTTTTAAAAAATCACATGTAATTGTGTCCCAAAAATATATGTATAATGCATTTATTCGTATTACTTGGTTTGTGTGATAGAATAAAATGTACGAATTTTATGGTGTTTGAATTAGTTATCTATTGCTCTGTAACAAATTGAGCAGCTTAAAACAACAAACATTATCTCACAGTTTCTGTGGGTCAGGATTCTGTCCAGTTTACCTTGGGTTCACTGGCTTGGCCTCTCACCAGGCAGTGAAGGTGTTGGTGGTGGCTGTGATCATCCCAAGGCAGGATAGGGAGAGAATCTGTCTCCAAGCTCAGGTTGGCAGGATTCATCTCAGAGGCTGCTGGACTGGGCCTCCGTTTCTAGATGGCTATTGGTCAGAGGCCTTTTACAATACCTTGTCACGTGGGCCTCTCCATAGGGCACCTCATCACATGGCAACTGGCTTCCATCAGAGGGAGCAATGGAAAGAGCAGGAGAAGGGTGACCAAGGCAGGCATCGTAGTCTCCTTGTAGCCTCACCTCAGAAGCGATGTTACTTTTGCTGTATTCTCTTTGTTAGAAGTGAGTCACTAGGTCCAGGGGTGGAATTTTACAAGGGTGTGAATGGCAGGAGGTGAGGGTGATCAGGGCCGTTTAGAGGCTGCCTACCAGTGTTGAAGAAAATTGTTGACTTCTATGAGCTGTAGCAGCAGACAGTGCTATGCAAGGAGAATGGCTGTCTCAGAAGTCCAGCTCCTCACATGGGTTTAAACGTGTTGCCTTTTCCCCCATACATTTTGTTTAAATCCATGGTCATCTTGCCATTTAGTGGTGTGGTTTAATTGCATATTTGGGTTAGTCTGTATGTAAACATTTAACATAGGTGTCTCTGGGTTAAACAGGAATCCTATTCATCTTCTTCACCGATATGGTTTGTGGACTCTGATGAGCCAAATCTGACATCAGTTTTGGAATGTCTAGAAGATGCTAAGAACAACAATTCGGTGAGGAAAGAAGCCAAGCTGTTTTCTCTTTTCCTTATAAACATTATATTTAGAAATTAAATGTTAAGAGATAATATGATAAAAAACATGATTAATAACTATAAACTTAGAGGAATTAAAGTCTGGGTATTTTAAGTCCTCCAAATCTTATTTACTACCTGGTTTCTCTTTATTATTTCCCACATGTATAACCTTAGTTTAGATTAGCAATTTGGGATCTCTTTTTCCCTGAATTCTAACCATTAAGCCAAGCAAGCATTTTGGGTGGAGACCACTAGCCAAGGTGGGAAGTAGAAAGAAGACCAAGGTGGAAGTGAAGGGAGAGATGGGGAGAATGACACCAAAACTACTGGGAGGGAATTGCCTTTTCTTTCAAGGGTCTGTAAGTCTGCAGTAAAAGTCAAATGTATTCAAATAGGAAGTTTTGTTTTTGTTCTTAGTTTATAAAGAAATATAACTTTCCATGTTGGAAAAATTTTTAAAACTTTTTTTATTATAAAACTCACAAGCAACCATTGTTGAGAAAATTAGTAAAGTACAGAAAAGCAAAAAGAAAAAAATTAGTCTCCCATAAATTCTCTACCTAATATAACCACTATTGACAGTTGACATGATGGCCATTTTCTACCAGTATATATTTTTTCTTTGCTAGTAAAATACATAACCCTTATACATATGTTTAAATAGTTGAGGTCGTATTCTCTATAGTTTTATATTCTTTTCTTTTTTTTTTTTTTTGAGACAGTCTTGCTCTGTCACCCAGACTGGAGTGCAGTGGCATAATCTCGGCTCACTGTAAGCTCCCCCTCCCAGGTTCACACCATTCTACTGCCTCAGCCTCCCCAGTAGCTGGGACTACAGGTGCCCACCACCATGCCTGGCTAATTTTTTGTATTTTTTAGTAGAGATGGGGTTTCACCATGTTAGCCACGATGGTCTCAATCTCCTGACCTCGTGATCCTCCCGCCTCAGCCTCCCAAAGTGTTGGGATTACAGGCGTGAGCCACTGTGCCCAGCCCTTTTATATTCTTTTAAAAAGTATTTACTGTATTTTCCCATGATGTCGTAGTCTATATAGAAAAATAACAATCATTATTTTCAGTTGACATGATTGTTTACCTAAAAATATCCAAAGGAACCAACTGAAAAAAACAATTTTTAAGATTACTGGTTAAAAGCTCTTTTATATAAAAATCAATAGCCTTCCTAAATGTTATTTATAATCACATAGAAGATATAGTGATGAAGTATTTTTTCAGGTATTTCAGCAAAAATTAAATACCTAGGAATAAACTTAGATGTGCAGGACTTTTATCAAGGACAGGACAAAATTTTGCTGAGTGGAATGAAAGATTTGCATTCTATGTTCCTGGATGAGCAGATTTCATGTTATAAATATGTTAGTTATCACCATGTCTTCATATTAATTTGTAAATGTAATTTCTGCTGGGCACAGTGGCTCATACCTGTAATCCCAAAAGTTTGGAAAGCTGAGGCAGGTAGATGACAATTAGCTGGGTGTCTGTGGCACACACTTGTAGTTCCAACTACTTATGAGGCTGAGGTGGGAGGATCACTTGAGCCTGGGAGGCAGAGGTTGCAGTGAGCCGAGATCATGCCTGTGAACTCCAGCCTAGGTGACAGAGTGAGACCCTGTCTCAAAAAAAAAAAAAAAAAAAAGCAGAAAAAAAGTGTGTGTGTGTGTGTGTGTGTGTGTGTATATATATATATATGTATATACATTTCATATTATATATATATTTATATATAAATTGTATATATACATTTCATATTATATATATATATAAATTGTATATATACATTTTATATCATATATAGTGTGTATATATATATACACAAATTTCAGCACAAATTCCAGCAGATTTATTTTTGACACTTGACAAAAACGACTCTAAAGTTAGTTTAGAAGAATAAATAATAAAAATTAATAAAGTATAGACTCTTTCAACCAGATATTAAATAAAATATTGTGGACTAGCCCTGGGCCAGACAGATAAAGTCAATGGAAGTTTAGAACCAGAGTCATGCAAATGAGAATTTAGTGTAAGGAAGAGGTGGTATTTTAACTTAATACTGAAAAGAGAGATTATTCTGTAAATGGTTTTAGGAGAACTATTTGAGGAAGTCTGAGTCTTAACTCCAATTTTTGTCAAAATAAGTTACAGTTGGTTTAAACACATCTATTCTTAAAAATTAGAACAGAAGAATATTGGTTTGAAGATATTTTAAGAGTTCAGGCTGCAGCTGGGCACAGTGGTTCATGCCTGTAATCCCAGCACTTTGCGAGGCCAAGGTGGGAGGATTGCTTGAGCCCAGGAGTTTGAGATCAGCCTGGGAAACATAGCAAGACTCTTTCTCTCTCTCTCTCTCTCTCGATATACATATACATATAAATATACATATACATGTAAATATACATATACAAATAGAAAAAAAAAGAGTTAAGTTTTGTGTGGAGAGCCATGAAGATAAGAGGTAAAAATTAAAGGCTTGATGGACACATGTTTACATCTCCAGCAAGGGGGTTGATGGGAAAGACTGATAGACATAGCTCCATTACTGCTACCTCCTTTTAGGAAGTTGCATCTGAACATCTAAAGATACCAGTTTTATAATAGCAGAAATGAGTTATTTTTCAGTGTCTAAAACATTACATGACATACATACATGCATACATACATAAGTATGTTCATAAAGTTAAATGAAGTAGGATATAAAACTGGGCCTAGTGTTTAAAAAAGTAAATATATTTACATGAAGGAGAAAACAACTCACCTCCCACTCTTAGAGCCTCTGCCAGTTTATCATAGCCTAGTTTCTTGAGAGAATAAGCTACATGTCTTCACCTTTTTTCACTGAGCTCATTATAATCTGGATTCTGCCTTCATCGTTGCACTAAAATTTATCTCCTAGTTGTCAAATCCAGTGGCTCCCCTCTTAGTCCCCAAATTGACCCCTCTGCAGTATTTTGATACTGTTGATTGTTCCTTTGTTGAAACATTCCTCCATTCTTAATGTCCACCAATAAAGAGTTGGTTAAATAAAAATTATAGTGTACAATTTTATAATAGAATATTCTGTTGTTCTGTTGTGGACCAAAAAATGCAGCCAGTCTTTCCATAAGAGCATGTGCAAACTTCTAAGATATATTAGGTAAAAAAGTAAGGCATAAAATATTGTGTATAATCTGACCCCTTTAGTACACAGTGTAAAAACATCTGTGTCTGTGCTTCTTTATACTTACTTTTTTCTCCCCTGGTGGATAAAGGAAACTGTGAATAGTACAACACAATTAAAAAAAAAACTGTGTGTCTGCTGCACCAGGACCTGTGATAATTGGGTATAAAAGACAAAAAAGGCATGTCTCTGTCCTCTGGGAAGGGACATGATAATCGAATGAGACTTCTATCGGATTCTTTTCTCCTGTTTTGATCTTATCACCCTGCCTTGGTCTCCTCCGATCTCTTCTTCCTTGTCCTACTTCTTTCTTCTCTTCTCATTCTGTGCTTTCTCTGAGTAATCTTTGACTCCCATTACTTAAGTCATGACCTGTGTTCCAGGGACTCCTAAATTTGTATTCATCTCCGGAGTTTCAAACCCATATATCTGTCTGCATATCATATATGTTAGGGAATCTCGCTTGGAGTGACATGGGTGTTCAAAATGATGGTATTTAAATTTTCACGTATCCATCTCCTAGCACTCTATCTAGTCACATATGCCTAAACCTGGAAACTGTCTTAATATTCTTTTATATACAACTGTTCTCTGACCGCCCCCCCAAACTAGTAAATTTCTAAGACCTGTCCTTCTGAATGTCTCTTACAATTTTCCCTGTGATCTCAGTTTCTTCCTCCCATCCCTCAAACTTTTTGTTTTGCAGTGTCTTCCTCATAATAGTAATTTTTAATTTAAAAAATTCTGTTGTAGCCCTTTCTGTGAGATCTCCTTCTCTTCCAAAGCCTTTGGCTCCTCTGTGCCCATTTTGGCAGGTTGTTCTTCGGGTTGGCTGTGCACATGTCATCTTGAGGTTTTTCTCATCTGCTCGCCTAGAGTACATCCATTGTTTCCTGGATCCCATGTCATCTTTCTTGGCTTTTCCCTTTGTCATTTTACCTGACTATGTCCTCAAGTAAAACCCTGAGAAAGCATGGAGTGGTATATTTTCTGATCTCTGGCTTCTGAAAAAATACAATCCAGTGTTTGGGTTTTGGAGCCAGTCTGAGATAGATTTGAATCTTGGTTCTACTACTTATTAGCTGTATGCCCTTGGGCAGATTCCCTAATTGCTCTATGCATCAATTTCCATTTGCAAAATGGGGGAACCGGTAATAGTATTAGTACCTATGTTTCTAGGGAGCTATGAGGATTAAATGAGTTGGTACATGTAAACCATTTAGAACAGTGCCTGGTGCTTAGCCCATCCCCATCACTATTCACTTTTGTCATAGTCTACCCTCACACTTGATTGATAGTTTGGTTGATTATGTATTTCTAGGTTGAGGATAATTTTACCTTAGAATTTCAAAGTCTGTGCTGTTGTCTTCTAACCAGTCATGGTGGTGAAGCCTCATGCCATCCTGAGTTTCACTCATTCATGCATGACTTTCTCTCTGGAAGCTTTTAGGAGTTTGTCTTTTCCTTGGTGAGCTGAAATAGCCACAACATTGTACTTAGTGTGTGTCTTTTTTCATTCACTGTGCTGGGTATACCGAATGGATAGGCCTATGGATCGGCTCTTTCAAAGTTGGAATCTTGAATCTTGTCATATTTTTGTTAACTTTCTCTTTTCCACTTTATTTGTTCATTCTGAAGTGTCTGTTAATTGGATTTTAGTCCTCTTGTCTTGAGACTTGTATGTCACATTATTTCTAATTTTTAAAAAAATTTTAAGTTCTGGAATATTTTTCTTATATTTTGACTTCTAGGAAATTTTATTTGGACAATCAACGTTAAGTTTTGTTTTGGTTATTTATTGTTGCTTAACCAATTTTCCCAAAACTTAATGGCATAAAACTATACATTTGTCTACCTGTCACTACTGTATGGGTTAACTGAGGATAGCTGGACAGTTTTTCTGCTGGTCTCGTTTGGCATCTCTCACTGTGCGGTTAGATGGTGTCAGGCACTGGTCATCTGGATGCTCAGCTGCAGTGGAATGTCTGAGACGGCTTCTTCACCCACAGGTCACCTGCTTTGGTGTTTCTTCATGTGGCCTTCCTCTCTGGCCTCATCATATGGCTTCTCTTTCCCCGAGAGATTAGTCAGTACTTATTTTGGCTACTAGAAGCGCAGATGTGGAGCTGCCAGGTGTTCTTAAGGCTTAGACCTGGAACAGGTCCAGTGTCATTTCTACCTAATTCTGTAGGTTAAAGTGAATCTTGGGGCCAACCCAGATTCACTGTGGGATGGGACTGTCCAAGGACATGATGCTGGGAGGTGTGGCTCACTGGGGACCAACTCCCAAGATGAACCCTGAGTTCTAAGAACTTTTTCTTCTCTGATTATTCCTTATTCATATTCTATTTTTGTTTTATTCATGTAATATATTCACAAGTGTCTTTATGAAGTGATTTGGATACTCTTTTGTCTTCTCCCTAGCATCTCTTTGTTCTTTAATAAATTTTTTTCTTAGTTTATTTTGGTCTTATTTTTCTTTTTAAAACCTTTCCTTAAATATCTATTCTATGTTGCTTATCATTTGTAGTCTTTTTTTTTTTTTTTTTTTTTGAGACGGAGTTTTGCACTTGTTACCCAGGATGGAGTGCAGTGGTGTGATCTCGGCTCACCACAACCTCCTGGGTTCAAGTGATCCTCCTGCCTCAGCCTCCTGAGTAGCTGGGTTTACAGGCATGTGCCACCATGCCCGGCTAATTTTTGTATTTTTAGTAGAGACAGGGTTTCTCCATGTTAGTCAGGCTGGTTTTGAATTCCTGACCTCAGGTGATCCACCCACCTTGGCCTTCTAAAGTGCTGGGATTAAAGGCATGAGCCACCGTGCCCAGCCTGTATGTTCTTTTTAATTCCCTTTTTTGTTCATTCATATTTGAGAGAGGTACTAAAAGACTGGGAGGCTGGACGTGGTGGCTCATACCTACAATTTCAGTGCTTTGGGAGACTGACGTGGGAGGATCACTTGAGCCCAGGAGCTTAAGACTAGTTGGGGCAACATAGTGAGACCCCACCTTCACAAAAAATAAATTTAAAAAATAGCCAGGTCTGGTGACACCAACCCGTAGTCCCAGCACTTGGCAGGCTGAGGCAGGAGGATCACTTGAGCCTGGGATGTTGAGGCTGAAGTGGGCTGTGATCATCCTGCTGCATTCCTGCATTCCAGCCTGGGTGAAAGAGCAAGACCCTGTCTCAAAAACATAAATAAATAAATAAATATATAAAAAAATAAATAAAAATAGAAATAAAAAATTGGGAGTTCTTCATGGCCAAGACTTGCCAACTGATAGCTTTTAGGGGGAATGTATGCTGATTCCTAATTGTCATCCTCTACCCCCCTATCTTATCTCCCGGTGCAATCATAAATGATGGCTGGAACTACTCCATTTCTCTGGAGGTGAAATCTACATTCTCTTGTCTGAGGTAGATATGTTTGCTTGGGTTCTGCTTAAGGAGATGGGGGAGAGCAGTGTGTTTCAGGGCCTGGAAAATGTGTTCTCTATATAGGCTTTTGGTTAATCTCTGTTTTCAGTCTTGCCTGTCAGTCCCACTCTCGGGGGTACCTGGTGTCTGAGTCTAGAACCTTTCCAGGTTGCTGTGGGACAAATTAGCTTCCTTGTTATCGGTGTCCCCCTGACCTCCACTTTGCTTTGCTTTGCTCCATTAATTAACCATTTTCCATTTACTGTCATTTTCTAATGGAGGTGAATTCTCTTCTGTGGGTAACCCCATTTCTTTTTTTTGTAATTGTGTGTTTATATATTGTTTATTCTTCACTGTATTTCTAGTGGAGCCTCAGGACAAAGAGCAGATGGTGGAAATATGTGTTCAGTGTTCAGTTTTTTTCTGTAAGACATCTGCAACTTGTGTTTTTCACTGAATATCACGTGGACTTAATGCATATAGAGCTACCTTGTTTTTCATGATTGTGCCTACAATTCTATGGAGAAATATAATTTGTGAATTACCTGATGAAATTTTCCTAATTTCGAATCATCCTTGCATTCCTATAATAAACACTGTTAGAATGGCTATGGTAATATTTTATTTTTGCATTTTTATTTCTGTATTAAATAAGATTATAGTTTTGTTTGTTTCCTTTCAGTTTCGTATTTCATTTCAGTATCAACGGTGTGCAGGGCTAACTCGGGAAGCTTTACATCTTTTTCCTAAGACCTAGGATGTAGATCTAGTTTACACAGTAGTTTTCAACTGCAGGAATATTTTGCCTCCCATGGGACATTTGGAAATATCTGGAGACATTTTTGTGGTCACAACTGGTCACGGTCGGGAGGTCTTATTGGCATTCCGTGGGTAGAGGGGATGTTACTAAATGTCCCACAACACACCAGGAGAACCCTCACAAAGAATTGTCTGGCCCAAGATATCAATATTGCTGAGGCTGACAAACCCTGGTTTAAATAAATGTCCAATTTGGAGGATGAGTCTGTCTTTTTCCTTCTTCTGCGTATTGGTCTCCAGATTTTCCATTTCTTCAGTTAGTTTTCGTAACTGTAGATTCTTAAAAGAAATGAACACTTCTCCCATACTTGTAAGGTGTTGTAAAGATGTGTAAAGTTTTCACTTTTTGCATCATATTCACATGTGGCTATATGCCCTTTTCTCTTCAAAGGTTTCTTTATCTTGATCACTTATCAGAGGCGTGACTGTTTCATTATCTTAGGCTTTTGAAAGAATCCTCCTTTAGTTTTATTTTTTAAATTTAGTGAGTTTTTTTCTCACATTTTCCTTATGTCTTAATTATTTCCCCTTTTTGTTTATTTTGCTTTTTCTAGTTTAGTGGATCAATGTAATTTAAATTGCTTTTTAAACAAACCTGTAATGGTATACATTTTCTTTGGGTGCTGTTTGACTTTATTGCACAAGTTTTTTAAATTTATTTTTTATTATACTTTAAGTTTTAGGGTACATATGCACAACGTGCAGGTTTGTTACTTATGTATACGTGTGTCATTTTGATGTGCTGCACCCATTAACTCTTCATTTAAAATTAGGTATATCTCCTAATGCTATCCCTCCCCACTCCCCCCACCCCACAACAGGCCCCAGTGTGTGATGTTCCCTTTCCTGTGTCCATGTGTTCTCATTGTTCAATTCCCACCTATGAGTGAGAATATGCGGTGTTTGGTTTTTTGTCCTTGCGATAGTTTGCTGAGAATGATGCTTTCTAACTTCATCCATGTCCCTACAAAGGACATGAACTCATCATTTTTTATGGCTGCATAGTATTCCATGGTGTGTATGTGCCACATTTTCTTAATCCACTCTATCATTGTTGGACATTTGGGTTGGCTCCAAGTCTTTGCTATCACGAATAGCGCTGCAATAAACATACGTGTGCATGTGTCTTTATAGCAGCATGTTTTATAATCCTCTAGGTATATACCCAGTAATGGGATGGCTGGGTCAAATGGTATTTCTAGTTCTAGATCCCTGAGGAATCACCACACTGACTTCCACAATGGTTGAACTAGTTTACAGCCCCACCAACAATGTAAAAGCATTCCTATTTCTCCAAATCCTCTCCAGCACCTGTTGTTTCCTGACTTTTTAATGATTGCCATTCTAACTGGTGTGAGAGGGTATCTCATTGTGGTTTTCATTTGCATTTCTCTGATGGCCAATGATGATGAGCATTTTTTCATGTGTCTTTTGGCTGCATAAATGTCTTCTTTTGAGAAGTGTCTGTTCAAATCCTTTGCCCACTTGTTGATGGGGTTGTTTGTTTGTTTCTTGTACATTTGTTTGAGTTCTTTGTAGATTCTGGATATTAGCCCTTTGTCAGATGAGTAGATTGCAAAAATTTTCTCCCATTCTGTAGGTTGCCTGTTCACTCTGATGGTAGTTTCTTGTGCTGTGCAGAAGCTCTTTAGTTTAATTAGATCCCATGTGTCAATTTTGGCTTTTGTTGCCATTGCTTTTGGTGTTTTAGACATGAAGTCCTTGCCCATGCCTATGTCCTGAATGGTATTGCCTAGGTTTTCTTCTAGGGTTTTTATGGTTTTAGGTCTAACATTTAAGTCTTTAATCCAACTTGAACTAATTTTTGTCTAAGGTATAAGGAAGGGATCCAGTTTCAGCTTTCTACATATGGCTAGCCAGTTTTCCCAGCACCATTTCTTAAATAGGGAATCCTTTCCCCATTTCTTGTTTTTGTCAAGTTTGTCAAAGATCAGATAGTTGTAGATAAGTGGCATTATTTCTGAGGGCTCCATTCTGTTCCATTGGTCTATATCTCTGTTTTGGTACCAGTACCATGCTGTTTTGGTTACTGTAGCCTTGTAGTATAGTTTGAAGTCACATAGTGTGATGCCTCCAGCTTTGTTCTTTTGGCTTAGGATTGACTTGGCGATGCAGGCTCTTTTTTGGTTCCATATGAACTTTAAAGTAGTTTTTTCCAATTCTGTGAAGAAAGTCATTGGTAGCTTGATGGGGATGGCATTGAATCTATAAATTACCTTGGGCAGTATAGCCATTTTCATGATATTGATTCTTCTTACCCATGAGCATGGAATGTTCTTCCATTTGTTTGTATCCTCTTTTATTTCATTGAGCAGTGGTTTGTAGTTCTCCTTGAAGAGGTCCTTCACATCCCTTGTAAGTTGGATTCCTGGGTATTTTATACTCTTTGAAGCAATTGTGAATGGGAGTTCACTCATGATTTGGCTCTCTGTTTGTCTTTTATTGGTGTAAAAGAATGCTTGTGTTTTTTGCACATTGGTTTTGTATCCTGAGAGTTTGCTGAAGTTGCCTATCAGCTTAAGGAGATTTTGGGCTGAGACAATGGGGTTTTCTAAATATACAATCATGTCATCTGCAAACAGGGACAATTTGACTTCCTCTTTTCCTAATTGAATACCCTTTATTTCCTTCTCCTGCCTGATTGCCCTGGCCAGAACTTCCAACACTATGTTGAATAGGAGTGGTGAGAGAGGGCATCCCTGTCTTGTGCCAGTTTTCACAGGGAATACTTCCCGTTTTTGCCCATTCAGTATGATATTGGCTGTGGGTTTGTCATAGATAGCTCTTATTATTTTGAAATACGTCCCATCAATACCTAATTTATTGAGAGTTTTTAGCATGAAGGGTTGTTGAATTGTGTCGAAGGCTTTTTCTGCATCTATTGAGATAATCATGTTGTTTTTGTCATTGGTTCTGTTTATATGCTGGATTACGTTTATTGATTTGCGTATGTTGAACCAGCCTTGCATCCCAGGGATTAAGGCCACTTGATCATGGTGGATAAGCTTTTTGATGTGCTGCTGGACTCAGTTTGCCAGTATTTTATTGAGGATTTTTGCATCAATATTCATCAAGGATATTGGTCTAAAATTCTCTTTTTTGGTTGTGTCTCTGCCAGGCTTTGATATCAGAATGATGCTGGCCTCATAAAATGAGTTAAGGAGGATTCCCTCTTTTTCTGTTGATTGGAATAGTTTCAGAAGGAATGGTACCAGCTCCTTCTTGTACCTCAGGTAGAATTCGGCTTTGAATCCGTCTGGTCCTGGACTTTTTTTGGTTGGTAAGCTATTAATTATTGCCTCAATTTCAGAGCCTGTTATTGGTCTATTCTGAGATTCAACTTCTTCCTGGTTTAGTCTTGGGAGGGTGTATGTGTCCAGGAATTTATCCATTTCTTCTAGGTTTTCTAGTTTATTTGCATAGAGATGTTTATAGTATTCTCTGATGGTAGTTTGTATTTCTGTGGGATCGGTGGTGATATCCCCTTTATCATTTTTTATTGCGTCTATTTGATTCTTCTCTCTTTTCTTCTTTATTAGTCTTGCTAGCAGTCTATCAATTTTGTTGATCTTTTCCAAAAACCAGCTCCTGGATTCATTGATTTTTTGAAGGGTTTTTTTGTGTCTCTATTTCCTTCAGTTCTGCTCTGATCTTACTTATTTCTTGACTTCTGCTAGCTTTTGAATGTGTTTGCTCTTGCTTCTCTAGTTCTTTTAATTGTGATGTGAGGGTGTCAATTTTAGATCTTTCCTGCTTTCTCTTGTGGGCATTTAGTGCTATAAATTTCCCTCTACACACTGCTTTGAATGTGTCCCAGAGATTCTGGTATGTTTTGTCTTTGTTCTTGTTGGTTTCAAAGAACATCTTTATTTCTGCCTTCATTTCGTTATGTACCCAGTAGTCATTCAGGAGCAGGTTGTTTAGTTTCCATGTAGTTGAGTGGTTTTGAGTGAGTTTCTTAATCCTGAGTTCTAGTTTGATTGCACTGTGGTCTGAGAGACAGTTTGTTACAATTTCTATTCCTTTACATTTGCTGAGGAGTGCTTTACTTCCAACTATGTGGTCAACTTTGGAGTACGTGTGGTGCTGAAAAGAATGTATATTCTGTTGATTTGGGGTGGAGAGTTCTGTAGATGTCTATTAGGTCCACTTGGTGCAGAGCTGAGTTCAGTTCCTGGATATCCTTGTTAACTTTCTGTCTCATTGATCTGTCTAATGTTGACAGTGGGGTGTTAAAGTCTCCCATTATTATTGTATGGGGGTCTAAGTCTCTTTGTAGGTCTCTAAGGACTTGCTTTATGAATCTGGGTGTTCCTGTATTGGGTGCATATATATTTAGGATAGTTAGCTCTTCTTGTTGAATTGATTCCTTTACCATTATGTAGTGGCCTTCTTTGTCTCTTTTGATCTTTGTTGGTTTAAAGTCTGTTTTATCAGAGACTAGGATTGCAACTCCTGCCTTTTTTTTGTTTTCCATTTGTTTGGTAGATCTTCCTCCATCCCTTTATTTTGAGCGTATGTGTGTCTCTGCATGTTAGATGGGTTTCCTGAATGCAGCACACTGATGGGTCTTGACTCTTTATCCAATTTGCCAGTCTGTGTCTTTTAATTGGGGCATTTAGCCCATTTACATTTAAGGTTAATATTGTTATGTGTGAATTTGATCCTGTCATTATGATGTTAGCTGGTTATTTTGCCCATTAGTTGATGCAGTTTCTTCCTAGCCTCGATGGTCTTTACAATTTGGCATGTTTTTGCATTGGCTGGTACCAGTTGTTCCTTTCTATGTTTAGTGCTTCCTTCAGGAGCTCTTTTAGGGCAGGCCTGGTGGTGACAGAATCTCTCAGCATTTGCTTGTCTGTAAAGTATTTTATTTCTCCTTCATGTATGAAGCTTAATTTGGCTGGATATGAAATTCTGGGTTGAAAATTCTTTTCTTTAAGAATGTTGAATATTGGCCCCCACTCTCTTCTGGCTTGTAGAGTTTCTGCAGAGAGATCAGCTGTTAGTCTGATGGGCTTCCCTTTGTGGGTAACCCAACCTTTCTCTCTGACTGCCCTTAACATTTTTTCCTTCATTTTAACTTTGGTGAATCTGACAATTATGTGTCTTGGAATTGCTCTTCTTGAGGAGTATCTTTGTGGCATCCTCTGTATTTCCTGAATTTGAATGTTAGCCTGCCTTGCTAGATTGGGGAAGTTCTCCTGGATAATATCCTGCAGAGTGTTTTCCAACTTGCCTCCATTCTCACCGTCACTTTCAGGTACACCAATCAGATGTAGATTTGGTCTTTTCACATAGTCCCATATTTCTTGGAGGCTTTGTTCATTTCTTTTTATTCTTTTTTCCCTAAACTTCTCTTCTCACTTCATTTCATTCATTTGATCTTCAGTCACTGATACCTTTTCTTCCAGTTGATTGAATTGGCTACTGAGGCTTGTGCATTCATCACGTAGTTCTCATGCCATGGTTTTCAGCTGCATCAGGTCCTTTAAGGACTTCTCTACATTGGTTATTCTAGTTATCCGTTTGTCTAATTTTTTTTCAAAGTTTTTAACTTCTTTGCCATTGGTTCGAACTTCCTCCTTTAGCTCGGAGTAGTTTGATCTTCTGAAGCCTTCCTCTCTCACCTCGTCAAAGTCATTCTCCACCCAGCTTTGTTCCATTGCTGGTGAGGAGCTACATTCCTTTGGAGGAGAAGAGGCGCTCTGATTTTTGGAGTTTCCGGTTTTTCTGCTCTGTTTTTTCCCCATCTTTGTGGTTTTATCTACCTTTGGTCTTTGATGATGGTGACGTACAGATGGGTTTTTGGTGTAGATGTCCTTTTCTGTTTGTTAGTTTTCCTTCTAACAGTCAGGACCCTCAGCTGCAGGTCTGTTGGAGTTTACTGGAGGTCCACTTCAGACCCTGTTTGCCTGGGTGTCAGCAGCGTTGGCTGCAGAACAGCGGATATTGGTGAACTGCAAATGCTGCTGCCTGATTGTTCCTCTGGAAGTTTTGTCTCAGAGGAGTACCTGGCAGTATGAGGTGTCAGTCTGCCCCTACTGGGGGGTGCCTCCCAGTTAGGCTAATCTGAGAACAATAAAACAATTTGAAACAAAAATGTCTCCAGGTCTCTTAAAAGGAAGCTGGGGCAGCTTTCTGTAGCGCACTTCCCAAAAATGGGCTGATTTACCTCAAGAGGCAGGGATTCTAGCCTACATGGGATACATACAGGAGAAAAAAATCAGAAAAAGAAAAGAGATTTAAATTAAAAAATGAAAATAACAGTTCTCCCTCATTATAAAGGAAATCATTCTTTTTGTAATAATTTAGATGACAAATATTAAGAAAAATCTTAAATTTGCCACTCAAAACATTCTGGTTTGTTGCTTTTTATATGTTTTTCTGCACATAAACCTTTTAAAAAGTAGAATCACAATATGTAGTCTTTTGTCACTTACTATATTTTGGGCATATTTCTGTGGCAGTAAATATATCCTGGCATCATCATTTTTAATAGCTGGATGTATATTAAGTTAATCACTGCCACCCCAGAGGTGAATTTTCTTATACATTCATTTTAATGGGCTCGAGCAAACATTTTTGGACTGAATTCATAGAAGTAGAATTTCTGGAGGAAAATAATTTTTAGGGTTTTTAATAGAAATTTTCAAATCATTCTCCAGGAAAAGTGACTCCGGTTATACTCCCACCAACAAGGACAGAGCTCCAGGTTCCCCTTTCCATTTGTCATCTTTCCTGCCTTTATACAGAAAATCTCATTGTTTTCATGACATTTCTTCGATTTCTTGTGCTTTTGAATCTTTGTATATGCCATTGGCCATTTTTATTCTTGTGAGAAGTGCCAGTTTCTCCATTGCCCATTTTGGTTGAAAATCATTTGTTTTTTATCTCAGTAATTTTAAAGATTTCTTTATAGTCTAAGGATACAAGCCTTTTATCTGTCATTGAGGTGACAAAACTTTCTCCCAGTAAGTAATTTGTCATTTCATTTTTTCTTCCTTCTTTTCTTTTTCCTTTCCTCTCCCTTTCTTTCTTTTTCTTTCTTTTTCTTTTCCTTGTTTCTTTCTTCTTCCTTCCTTGCTTTCCTTTTCTTTCTTGCTTTCTATTCTTGCTTTCTTTTCTTTTCTCTCCATCCCTCTTTCTCTTTCTTCTTTCTTTCCTCTTTCTTTCTTTCCCTCTCTTTCTTCCTTTCCTTTCTTTCTCTTTCTTTGTTCCCTCCCTCCCTCCTTCCTTCCTTTTTTTTCTTTCTTTCACTAGCCAAGCTCCAAAGTCACACATCACTTAATTTTTATCCTGCCAAATTTGAAAGCCTTTTAACTTCGTGATTTTAGTGTAAACAGGAGCAGGAGAAAATATAATTATCTAAGTCTCGCTGTGTCACCCAGACTGGAGTGCAGTGCCATAATCATAGCTACTGCAGCCTTGAACTCCTCGCCTCAAGCAATTTTCCCACCTCAGCCTGCCAAGTAGCTAGGACTACAGCTATGTGCCACCACACCCAGCTAATGTTTAAAAATTTTTGTGGAGATATGAATTCTCTATGCTGCCCAGGCTAGTCTTGAACTCCTGACTTCAAGTAATCCTCCCACCTCGGCTTGCCAAAGTGCTGGGATTACAGGTGTCAGCTACTGCTCCTGACCGAGAGTTTAGTTTTGTTTGCTAGTGGTGTTCTTGGTATCTTTTCATATTTGAGGTTTTGGGCTAGTGCTGAAGTATTACACTCACCATCCGAGGTCTACAGGACTTTTGGTTTAATATTGAACAGATGGAACTGTTTAGTTCTGCATCTTTGCAGGTATACAGAATGTGCCTACCAGGAATCTGCTTTATATCCATTGAAAGCAAGAAATAATACAGTAAAACTTTGCCTGGCTAGAGGCTTTGAAAGAATGGCGTATTCTGGTTTAATTCTATTACTTTGGAAGTATAAAGGTGAAAAAAATTCAAAACTTAAATTTCCTGTTGAATGCAATTTGAAAATATGGCCAATGATTCCACTTTTCTTCTCTAGTAAGGTTGGACATTCTGATCTACTTGGTGTTTTATTATAGAACTGCTAGTGTGCGTGAGTCTTACATTGTGAAGATACTTTTTTAAAACTTGAGATGTAAGAGGATGTAAACGGTTTTGTAGGAGATCAGGCTGGATGAGAACGGACACTTGTAAACATACTTTTTAGACTAAATCTCTGATTGCCGCTTGTTTTTCTTATGGAACTCATACAAATAAAACACATTGGATGGAGGGTGCGAGTAGGAAGGAGATTCTTGTCTTTTAATTGCATGTCATTGTTTCATAACAAGGCAGAACATATGGTAAACCCTGGCTTTGGACCTACAGAAGGAAACACATTTTACTACCTGCTGTATGCCAGAGGTTCTTGAACACTTGGAGGGATTACTGCAGCACAGATTGCTGAACCCTACTCCAGGGTTCTGATTCACCAGGTCCAGGGTGGGGCCTGAGAATTTGCACTTATAAAAAGGTCTCAGGTGCTGCTGGTGCTGCTAGTCCATAGACTACATTTTGAGAACCACTCTTGTCTATTAAGTGTAAATTGTAGAACTCTAGAAAAAAGCTTAGTTCAGTCTGGGATAAGAAGCACACAGGTTATGGAGAAAATCATGAAAGATTCAACCCTTGATCCCAGCCTAGTGTGGATTTCAGGTAACAAGCAGTACACAGTGACATAACACAATTCTTGGTTTTCATGATTGCAAGTCATAGCCAGGTATCAAGTGAGAAATTCAGTTTCATTTGCAAGGCTTAGAGAGGCCAGGTGATTCTAGAAAAATGGGCCTTGTATTTGTTTTAAACCAGTAAAGAGCTTTAAGTGCTTATTAAATTGAAAGCTTTGTGTTCTTACTTATTTTGTATTTTATTTTATTTTATTTCTTTTGAGATGGAGTCTTGCTCTGTCACCCAGGCTGGAGTGCAGTGGCATGAGCTTGTCTCACTGCAACCTCCATCTCCTGGGTTCAAGTGATTCTCCTGCCTCAGCCTCCCAAATAGCTGGGATTACAGGCACCCACCACCACGCCTGGCTAGCTTTTGTATTTTTAGTAGAGATAGGGTTTCTTCATGTTGGCCAGGCTGGTCTCGAACTCCTGACCTCAGGCGATCCACCCACCTCAGCCTCCCAAAGTGATGGCATTACAGGCGTGAGCCACTGCACCCGGCCCAAAAGCTTTGTGTTTTTAAAGATATTACACATGTTTCTTGTTTTAAAAAAAATCTTAACAATAATGTAGGAGGATAAGACAAACATTTTTCCAAAAAAGAGAAATCATTGTGATTATTTTATCCTCCTGGAATGCTGGATACTATAGTCTGCTTCATTAATCATCAAGCATGCTATGGATTTTCCATTTTTATATGATCTATATCTCAAAAGGTAAAATGTACCAGGTCATGGCCCCCAACCCAGCCACAGATCCCCTCCGATGACAAGACCGGTGCCAGAGTCCATACCACTCCTGAGGCATACCAGACTGGGCCCCCCAACCCCAGCACCTCTGGGCTCCCCCCACCAAAGTCTTCTCAGTCAGCCCCACCCCTTCAGCAAGCCGCTCAGTCCCTGCCCTTGCCAATCACCCCAGGGTGACTTTGGGCGGGTGACTCCTGGGGCTCCTTGCTCCATACTTGGCCCTCACCTTCTGCTGCCCCAAGCCCAACCTCCGTGGGCTCTTTGGGCTTGTGTCTCCCAGGACCTGGGTCCCCCAGCCCCAGGCCCCACCCTCGCCAGTCATCCCTGGGTGACTTTGGGCTGGTGACTCCTGGGGCTCCCTACTGCAGACTCTGCCCTCCCCTCCTGCTGCCACAAGCTCGACCTCCCTGGGCTTCTTGGGCTGGCATCTCCGAGGACCTGGGTCAAAACCCTGTATTTCCCTCCCACAACATGGAGCGGTGACTCTGGCATCGCACTGATGTCCCCTCCCCTGGGAGGAGTGGAATGCAGTGATGTCACAGTGCCCCTAGGAACTGTCATTACTGCTGCAAGACCAGCCTTTGATCTTACAACCCAGTCCCCTAAGTTTTCTCACTCCATTTCTGGTTCCTCTGGTTGCAGCACAAATTGCCAGATGGAAGGGGAGTGGGGACTATGGGACCTATGAGCAAGAAGTTTCAGGCTGCCTTACTCCCTTAACAATGTCTAATTGACAGTGGGAAAAGCTTACACTTCCCCTGTGAGCTCCAAATGTTGACAGTATCTCTGGGTGGCAATGGGAGAATGGGTAAGGTTTGGTTTTCTCACAGGCTTCTACTTTCCAGAGACTTTGACATTTTTTTCCGAGTTCTCCACAGTTCTGGGACCAGACTGCCCTTCAGTCAGTGGTCTCTGAGGTGAGATTTGCCCATCTTCTGTGGAATAGATCTTGGGAAACTGAACTTGAGAGCTTGAATCTTCCTCATATCATCTCAACCTGGGGTACTTTGAGTGTCACAGGATAAATGTGGGACATCTTTCTGAAGCATCATTTTCCCTTGATTCTCTTGAGAAAAAACATTAATGTTCTTTTTTTAAAATTTTATTATTATTATACTTTTAGGGTACATGTGCACAATGTGCAGGTTAGTTACATATGTATATATGTGCCATGCTGGTGCGCTGCACTCATTAACTCGTCATTTAGCATTAGGTATATCTCCTAATGCTATCCCTACCCCCTCCCCCAACCTCACAACAGTCCCCAGAGTGTGATGTTCCCCTTCCTGTGTCCCTGTGTTCTCATTGTTCAATTCCCACCTATGAGTGAGAATATACTGTGTTTGGTTTTTTGTTCTTGCGATAGTTTACTGAGAATGATGATTCCAATTTCATCCATGTCCCTACAAAGGACATGAACTCATCCTTTTTTATGGCTGCATAGTATTCCATGGTGTATATGTGCCACATTGTCTCAATCCAGTCTATCATTGTTGGACATTTGGATTGGTTCCAAGTCTTTGCTATTGTGAATAGTGCTGCAGTAAACATACTTGTTGCATGTGTCTTTATAGCAGCATGATTTATAGTCCTTTGGGTATATACCCAGTAATGGGATGGCTGGGTCAAATGGTATTTCTAGTTCTAGATCCCTGAGGAATCGCCACACTGACTTCCACAATGGTTGAACTAGTTTACAGTCCCACCAACAGTGTAAAAGTGTTCCTATTTCTCCACATCCTCTCCAGCACCTGTTGTTTCCTGACTTTTTAATGATTGGCATTCTAACTGGTATGAGATGGTATCTCATTGTGGTTTTGATTTGCATTTCCCTGACGGCCAGTGATGGTGAGCATTTTTTCATGTGTTTTCTGGCTGCATAAATGTCTTCTTTTGAGAAGTGTCTGTTCATGTCCTTCACCCATTTTTTGATGGGGTTGTTTTTTTCTTGTAAATTTGTTTGAGTTCATTGTAGATTCTGGATATTAGCCCTTTGTCAGATGAGTAGGTTGCGAAAATTTTCTCCCATTTTGTAGGTTGCCTGTTCACTCTGATGGTAGTTTCTTTTGCTGTGCAGAAGCTCTTTAGTTTAATTAGATCCCATTTGTCAATTTTGGCTTTTGTTGCCATTGCTTTTGCCTCATTTCAGAGAGAAGTCTGGTATACGCTTGGAAACTTCTGTGTCTATCATCCCTAAGAACATTACTGTTTATTGAGAGTTTAATAAACATTAATGTCCTTAGGGATGATAGACACATAGATTTCCAAGTGTATAGCAGACTTCTCTCTAAAATGAGGCTTGGGTTGTCCTCTTTCTGATAAATTCCCAGATTTAACAGAAAAGCTGCCTTCTGCCATGAGGACACATTGATATGAAAGTGAGAGGTACTGGTACGCTTCTTCACGCTAACAGACCTGTGAGGATGTATGACTCTAAACCACACGGCCTACAGTTCCTGCCTGCTTAATGTTTACTTTTCTACCTCTGTCCCTGGTTTTGGTCCCTGGAAGCTGCTGATTCATGGCAAAACCCCAGAGCTTGGAGTCAGAAGACTGAGTTTAAGTTCCAGTATTGCCTTTTTCTTTCCTCCTTTTTTTTTTTCTATCCATGATATCAATCCCTCTCAGTCACTAACTGATTGTGACAACACCTTGTACAGTTGTTGGTGGCATTAAACCAGATGGTGTATAAGAGTATTTTGTCAAAACTGTAAAGGAGGATGTGGCTATAGGGGCTGATTGTTCTCATGAGTGTTACTACTCTTCTTTCCCACAGTTAAAAGAATATTGGCAGAGGAAGAGCCCTGGCATTCCAGAAGGAGCTAACAGGAAAAAGAAAATCAATGGCAGTAGCCCTGACACAGCCACTTCTGGTGGTTACCACTCACCTGGGGATGTGAGTCTTGGCTGGCCAGGGTCCTGGGGACAGGGGGCCCAAGGGGCAGTAGAGGGTAATTGTTAAGATTGTAGATGGACTGTTGGGTACTGGTTAAGAATTCTGGGTTTGAATCCTGCCTCTCCGTCTGCTAAGGATTGATTAGGGATTGATTAGCCTATGATTTAGGGTAAGTTGTTTGAGGTCTTTGGGTCTCTCTTTTCACATCTCCATAATAGAGGTGGTATTTTTTGACTTCCATTTGTGAAGTGTAAATGAGATTCGTTATTGTTGCTTTTATGTGAATCCTTAGTACATGGCCTGCTGCAAACACCCAGGACACCCAGGAAATGGTTGTTGTTTGATTTTCCTCATCCCCAGTCTCAAGGGGAAGCCAGGCCAATGAGAAGAGCCACTTGCCATCAGGCTGTCCCTTTAGGAGTCACTGAAAGGGCCCCAGGGTGGGATGGTGGGGAGATAAGAACCATGAGAGAAGTTGGCACAAAGGAGTTATGGGAAAAAGGGTCCAAGATAGGCAGAAAAGAAGCTTTTGCCAGTTGATGGGGAAGAAAGGAAATCAGAGGGCTTAGACAGTGAGGGGGGACAGGACATCTCCATGTGCACTCTCATCGTTTGCAGTCAGCAACAGGTATCTACGGGGAGGGCCGTGCATCATCTGCTACCCTGGAGGATCTGGAGGTAAGAGGCCCTGGGCCGAGGTGCAGTGACCCTGCAGGCTAGCCCTCCAACCTCCTCCCACAGCAGGGGCTTGTTGCCCCTCTGCCAGCTGAGGCAGCCCACACACCCCCACCAGCCCTAATGATTATTCTCTCTACCCCTCCCCACAATCTTCCTCCAACTCCTCCTCTCTGCATGCACCTCAGAGCCAGTACCAAGAACTAGCAGTGGCCCTGGATTCAAGCTCCACAATAATCAGTCAACTCACTGAAAACATCAATTCACTGGTAAGAGTCCAGTGGGGTCCCCTGATTCCAGCCTGTGAATCCTGGACTCCAGTTTCCTCTTGGGGCCCTGAAGAAAGGGGCTAGGAGCCCCTGATGCCAAGGGCAAATGGGGAGCTGGGCACCCAGGTCTCACCTGGAGGGACCCCAGAGCACAGAACATGCAGCATGGCTCTTCTGCACTGCCCTCTTTGCTGACTCTCTCTTCTCCAGACACCCCTGCTCTAGTCCTTGCCACACATGCCCTGGGGTTGTCACCTCTCAGGAAAGCACTAGCCTGACTGGTTTTCAGGGGCCCGTATTTCTGCCCTGCCTCAGTCCCTAATTTGCTTTTTGAGTCTGGACAAGCCATCTCTCCTCCTTAGGCTCGTGTTTCTGGAGGAGGTAGAGAGTATCAAAGGTCACTGTTAGCTCAGAGATTTAAAGGCTCCTAGAATGGAAACCTCAGGACCAAGGGCTCCTGTCTGTCCTTTGCTGTCTTATATCTCTGCTATGAAGAACTGTACCTGGCCTGTACGTGCTCAGTAAATGTTTGTTGAGTGAATGCACCTTTCTCAATCGTAAGCTGGCAGAAGGGGGGTGGGCCTTTCTCAAACTCTGTCTCTAGAGGTTCAGCAGCCCCTCTCTGCAGGGCCCTTTCCCCTCTGCTTTAGGCAGGTTCACACATTGAAAGAGGAGAAGCATGAGATACATCAGGTACAGAAGCTTGGGAGGAACTTGTTCAAACTCAAAAACCAGACGGGTAAGATGGGGCTGCCATGACCTAGGAGCAGGACTGGCATCAGAGGGCTGTGAGGGTGACTTAGAATGCCCCGGGGAGGTGGGTAGATGGAAGGGCTTTGAGGCAGAGGGAAAGAGGTCTGTGCCAGGAGATGGCAAGTCTTGTCATCTCCATGAGCCTCAGTGTCCCTCTCAGTAAAGAGGGAGGAGTGCCCGTTGTCAGCCACCCACAGTGCTATCTGAAAGTGACTTGGAAGATTGGCTACCATCCGGGTGTGAGGAGTCATTAGCAGTGAGGCCAAGTTTGGGAAGCCTGAGAGGAGGAGCTGTGCACCGAAGGGAGGATTTTTTTTTTTTTTTTTTTTTTATCCAGAGGCCCTTATTGTCTGCTTCCTTTCTCAGCTGAACCCCTGGCCCCAGAGCCCCCAGCACGGCCCTCTAAGGTGGAGCAGCTCCAAGATGAGACCAACCACCTAAGGAAGGAGCTGGAGAGTGTGGGAAGACAGCTCCAGGCTGAGGTGGAAAACAATCAGATGTTGAGTCTCCTGAACAGGAGACAGGAGGAGAGGCTGCAGGAACAGGAGGGGTGGCAGGAGGAACAGGAGAGGCTGCTGGACAAGGTGGAGGAGCTGCTGGAACAGGAGAGGTTTTCGGGAGCAGGATGAGAGGCTGTGGCAGCAGGAGACTCTACGGGAGCTGGAGAGGATGCTGGAGTTGGGGTGGGAAGCCCTCTACAAGCAGCGGGCCGAGCCCCACAGCGGCTTCGAGGAGCTGGTGCGTTGCCCCACCTGGGGAGGCTGCCCTCTTCCCTAGCCCTCAAGGCCTTTGTTTCCCCACCTGTAAAATGGGGCATTGTAGCCTTCACATGAAATGGTACTTCTAAAGGCACCTGTGAGCCAGAGTCCTGCTCTGATGGCTGTGGGAGAAAGGGGATATTTTTCTAACCTGCCTCCACCCTTCCCGGTGCCATGGGAGGCAGACACCAAGTTCTGGGGTCTCCAGTTTTAGTGGGTGGCCACTGATTGCTTCTCTCTGTCCAGAATAATGAGAACAAGAGTGCACTGCAGTTGGAGCAGCAAGTAAAGGAGCTGAAGCTTGGTGAGCTGAAAGAGACGGTAACCTGTGACCCATCCAATAATGGCTGGGAGGCAGTCACCAGCCTCTGGGAAGGGGAGGTGCCAGGACAGAGGCAGCTGCAGCCTGAGGGCAGGTGACCCCAGCACCCTCCAGGGCAGTCCTATGACTGTTTCTTGCTTCCTGCCCTCTGATGTTTAGAGGTGGGTAGCCCTGGGCTCCTCCCAGGTCTGGACATCATCATCCCAGCTAGAGGCATGGAGCCCCCCCAATCACAGAGGAAGAGACAGTGGTATAAGAGGCTCCTTGGTGGGGTGTGGTGGCTCACGCCTGTAATCCCAGCACTTTGGGAGGCTGAGGTGGGACAATCACTTGAGGTCAGGAGTTTGAGATCAGCGTGGCCAACATGGCAAAACCTCATCTCTACTAAAATTAAAAAAAAAAAAATAATTAGCCGGGCCTGGTGGTGTATGCCTGTAATCCCAGCTACTCAGGAGGCTGAGACACGAGAATCACTTGAGCCTGGGAGGTGAAGGTTGCAGTGAGCTGAGATTGCACCACTGCATTCTAGCCTGAGACACAGAGTGACACTCTCTTAAAACAAAATAGAAAAACAAAAAAGACTCCTTAGATTCATACTGGATTCCGGCCTCGGTTCCACTGGTCATAATTCAACTACTTTGCATCTCTAAGTCTCTGTTTAACTTCAAAAGGAAGTTAGCCTTTTCCTTGCAGAGGTGCTGAGGATTAAATGAGATAATACTTGGAAACATTAGGTATGTGGCACACTTAGCAGATGGTGGTTGGCTGCCCCTGCTTTTCCACCAGTCTGTGGCCTACAGTTTAAATGCTGGGAAAAAGGACATGAGATTTGAGGCTGTGGAAGGAGGCATGTGGTTCTAGGCAAAGGAGGCAGTCTTGTACGCCTGGAGCAAGGGGCCAGGGGCCTGGGCAGGCCACAGAGCCCCACAGTGCCCTCGCTACCCTATTAATGGGCCAGGAATCTGGAAGCCAGCCACCACATGCCCTCATGCCCAGGGTTTTCCTGCACGTGGAGCTGAAGAGCCAAGAGGCTCAGAGTCAGCAGCAGCAGCAAGACCAGTACCTGTGTCACCTGCAGCAGTTCGTGGTTGCTTAGTAGCAGGTGGCTGCTTGTCAGCAGCTGGCCTCTGAGAAGGAGGCGCTGCACAGGCAGTTACTGCTGCAGACCTGGCTCATGGACCAGCTGCAGCAGGAGGAAGCTCGGGGCAAATCGGTGGCTAAGAGGGCCCGCCAAATGTTGCAGGAGACCCAGGGGAGGGAGTTGTTGAGGACAGGGCTCCAAGAGGGACAACCTGGCAACCTCTGTACCTTCTCACCCTCTTTCCTGGCCCCTTAGGAGAACCTGGAAGCTACCAGCCAGTAGAAACAGCAGCTAAAGCCCAGTTGAGCCTCATGGCTCTCCCTGGGGAAGGTATGGGAGACTACTCAGAGGAAGAGGAGAGAGCCCCAGGAGGAAAGGGGGACTGTTAGCAGCGTAGGATTGAGGAGTTGGAAGAGACCTTTAAGACAGCTGGTCATTATGCCAACTGGGTGTCCGCACTAAGTTCGGTATCAGTATGGTGACCTCCTGGGAACAGGTCATCGGCTTGCCTAAGGATGGGAGAACTGGCCCAGGTCAGAAAGGGAGCAGGTCAGAATTCCTGCACCAATCGGTAGTGGGACTGTGCCTGGGCAATATAGCAAGATCTTGGTTCTTAAAATTCAAAATAAAGAACAGCTCATTCCCCTCTGGGGAGGGGCTGGCTCAAGGTTACACAGTGAGTGTGGGGGCAGAGGCGGGCCCACTGTACCTCCCTTGTTGGGTTGTCTGAGGACCCCTCTGGCCACCCCCCACAGGAGATGGAGGAGGACATCTGGACAGTGAGCAGGAGGCGCCTCGGCCCATGCCGAACATCCCAGGGGACCTGGAGAGCCGGGAGGCCATGGTGAGCCTGACTTTCCCTGCCCCTACTTTGCCACCTTCCTCTGTGGTCCCTCCGAAACCCCCTTATGTTCTTGGTTTCCCCGCCTTCTGACTTCTGTGGACTTTCACTCCTCCTGGGAGCCAGTGGTCAGACACCATTTCACCTGTGACCAACAGGTGCACTCTGTGAGGCCCGAAAGGAGGGGGCTATGCTCCATCTCCCTGCCCCGGTTGTTATGTGTATACCCCTACAAGAATACTCACCTCTTGCCTTCAGGTGGCATTTTTCAACTCCGCTGGAGCCAATGCCCAGGAGGAGCAAAGGGTGTGCTGCCAGCCCCTGGCTCACCCAGTGGCCTCGTCCCAGAAAAAGCCAGAGGTAGCGGCCCCAGCCCCAGAGACTGGGGGTGAATCTGTGTGTGGGGAGACCCACCAGGCCCTGCAGGGGGCCATGGAGAAGCTGCAGGTGAGTAGTCCTGGCATGGGCCAACAAGGGTGGGGTCGGGACAAGGCAGGTGACTCCTGACATGTGACCCCATTATTTTGGCTCCACAGCGACTTTATGGAAGGAGAAGGTGGACCTGAAGGAGCGAGTGGAGAAACTGGAGCTTCAATTCATCCACCTCTCAGGACAGACAGACACCATAGTGAGCGAGAGGCTAGGGCACCGCTGGGGGGAGCTGCCAGGCCATCCGAGGGGCCCCAGCATCTGAGCCATGTCCTCCTGCAGGAAAGTACATCAGCCAGGGGGCAGTGTCAGAGACGCAGCACTGGGAGAGGAGGACATCGTCAGGCTGGCCCAGGACCAGGAGGAGATGAAGGTAGGGTGTGCAACATCTCGGTGGGGGTGGGGGTGGGGGTGAACGTGCGTGCCGGCACCGGCATGGCAGCTAACACCCCTTCCTCCAGGTGAACCTGCAGGAGCTGCGGGGCAGGTGTTGCAGCTTGTGGGCGACCACAAGGAGGGGCATGGCAAATTTTGACCATTGCCCAGAACCCTGCTGATGAGCCCACTCTAGGAGCCCCAATCGCCCGGGAGCTTGGGTGTGCGGACAAGCAGGGTGGGGAGTAGAGCCCTCAGGCGGGGTGGGCAGGCAGGAGCAGGGGAGGATCGAACTGTGCTCAGATTCCCACCCCCCTCTCTCTCTCTCTCTCTGAAGATCTTTGTGAGGTGAGCCTCACTGATAGCATGGAGGCTGTACCAGGAGAGGACAGGGAGGGTTCTCCCCATGACAACCCCACTGCACAGCAGATCCAGCAGCTGCTTCCTGTAATGCAGGACTCCCCAGGAGCACCCAGGCATGGGCAGCAACCCCTGCATGCCATTCTTTTTGGGCTGCCGAGAACAGGGAGATAAACACCACCATCATCTAAGAGCCGGGGAGGGGAGGGCGTAGGTGTGGGCATGGCAAGGTTCCTGGTAAAGGGGCTGGAAGGGAAAGGGGAGGAAGATGGAGGGAGAAGCTGGAGTGCCTGGGGGCTGTGGCAGCCCTCCCCACCCCACACACACTGGCCTCTCCCACGGCACCCAGGCAGTCCACCCACAGTTCAGACCAATGCTCAACCCCCTCAGGCTTCCGCTTCTCTGGTCACCGTCTTCCAACGCACTGGCCCAGGGCCACCTCTTGCTTGGGGAGCCCCACCCAACAGCCACCAAGCCTGACAGAAGGAACACTGCTTGAACCAAAATGGTGAAGCTATAAGGGATGGCTGGCTGGAGTGAATGCCAGAGGCCCCTCTGGGCTGTCTGAAAGCCCAGGGTCCTCTGAGGGACCCTGGGGAAGGCAGGAAGGGCAGGTAGCTGGATGCCATTGGCCATAGACTTCTAAGTCTAACAGGGGAGCCTCAACTGGTTGGTGGAGGGCTGCAGGTTGCATAGGTGAGGCTGGGCCCTTCCTGCTGGGAAAAGTAGAAGAGGGAGACTCTGTGGCAGTAAAGGGAAGTGAGCTGTCTAGGCGGAGCTCAGCTAGGCCAGCATACATTGTGGGCCCCTTGGCTGAATATCACAGGCGACCCCTAGAAGCAACAGGCCAAGGTGCGTGAGCCTGCTGGCCAGCAGTAGTGCTTCAGCAGGGGCCAGGGACCCTGCCTTCAGTCACACGCTAGCAGCTATGATGGTACCTGGGAGGGAGGGAAGGGGGCTGTGTGTCCTTGCATGGCCTATGAAGTGTGTTGTGGGATAACCATGTGTATAGGACTCTCAGGCTTTTATCCTAGATCACCACTAGATTGCTGACAGATAGAGGACGTGGGACCCTGACTATCACCCCTAATCTGCCGTGGATTTAGCTCTCGGCACTCCCAGGCTGGGAGCTGGATACCTGCCCTGGCAGCATGACTCAGACTGCGTGACAGGTACGGCGTGCCCAGGATGATGTTCCCAGGCCTCTGGCCGCCTGAGTCCAGCCCCCCACAGCATAAACCATGAGCTCTGTGCCCTCTCTGATGGCTCCACATCTGCCAGCTTGGGCATGGAGCCCCCAGGCTCAGCCTTGGAGACCTTGAGCACTGGCACTGAGTCCCGTGGCTCACAGGGAGCAAAGTGAGACAGCCAGCAGCACAAGGACAGAAAGAGGAAAGAGCAAGTCTGCAGCTTCAGAAGGAATGGGCAGGCCTGGGGGTGGGGGACACACACGCACATGCCCGAGTGTGCACACACATGCTGTGAGGCCCCACGGCCCGCATGCACACTCTAACACATGCCCACAAACAACACGCATACGTCGCCTTCCCCACCACCTCCCGGTGCCCAACACCCTCACTGGCCGGCACGTGCCGCGTGGATCTGGGGCATGCAGCCACACGGCACACTGAAGCACATGCGTGGGCAGAGTCACAACACAGATGATCACCCGCACACAGAGGCATTTGCACCAGCTGCCTGCACACTCGTGCCTGGCGTGCTCAGAGGACCACCCATGCTGCTCACGGAGACAGGGCTTGCTCACTAATGTCCGGCTGTCATTTCTCCACCTAAGAGCCTTCCATGGCTCCCTACTGCCTACAGCGTTGAATCCCAACAAGTCATACTCTTTGGACTTTGAAGGTTCTCCACCCTGTGCCCCACCCTCCCCACAGAGCTCTTCCTCATTCTGTCTCTGTTCCCTGCTTTGGCCAGTGGCTATCCTTGATGTGACCCACACTACACCTCTGCCCACACTGCAGCTCTTTACCCAGTTACCCTCCAGTTCCTCACAACGTATGCCTATCTCAGTCATGCCCTGGACTGCATTGAAGCCAGGCTGCCTTGAAGAAACTCTCCCAGACTGCCCTTTTACCCAAGGCAGGGTCATGATTTGCCAAAGGTTTCATTTGTGTTAGCAAGACTGGAGTCGGAGCAGGCATCAAACCTTACATCCCATATGTCACACCTCACCATAGATCTGGGTGCCAAATAGCCTGAAAAGTGTGAAATTATGTTGGCAGTTAGCAAAGTGCTCCTATGGCCGCATCTGCAGTTAACACAGCATCCCTATGACCACTGTCTCCCTTGATCCCCACAGCCATCCTAGGAGAAGGGCAGAATGTCGTCATTTCATAGAAGGGATGCTGAGGCTCTGGGAGGGAAAGGGACTTGCTTAAAGCCCCAGGGTGAAGCAGCATCTCTGGACTCCCAGTCCAGTGATCTTGCCCAATACTATGCTGCTTGCCTATACCCATCTAACTTGGTCATCAGCACGTCATAGGGCAAGCCCCAATCCCTGCTTCATTTTTGTATATGGGCGCTGGACCTACAGCCCCACTCTCCAGCCATTTGGAAAGGGAAACAGGGCACACTGGAAATCAGAGTGAATGTTCTTGGAAGAGGGTCACGGGTCAACAAGGCCCAGCCAAAGGATGCAGTAGAACCATTTTCCTTAGAAATCTTTGGGAGTGAAGTAGGCTTCAGCCACTCCCATCCCTGCCCTTGCAGCTACCACTGCGCCATTAGTTTAGACAGGGTTAGGGATAGAGGGGGAGGGGTCCAGATGTGGAGAAAAAATCAGATTGCCTGTGGGGACATCCGGGTAGCTGAAGGAAATCCACACACCCAGACTCTCAGACCTGAGGTAGGCTCCCCAGGGGCTGGGATAGGAGTTGGACAGAATGGAGGATGGAGGACAGCGAGAAGAAGAAAGGAAGAGAAATGCAACGTGTGGGCAGCCGCCAAGAGTGAAAATAGAGGGAAGTGCCATGCAAGTGCTGGACAGAAGGGGGCAGGTAAGACAAGCCCCACAGCCCCCTCAAAAACGACCACCTCCAGGAATCAGTGCTCCCTGGGGAGCAGGCTCCGCCAGCCCTCAGCCACACGTGGCTCCGGCACCCATGGTCCCAATGCCTTGGATGGAGGCGGCCAGGTCTGATGCTCTGGACTCCAGTCCCATTTCCTTCCCGGCCACGCCCGTCCAGCAGCCTCTTTGGCTGCATTCAGCCCCTACTCACTTGGAGACCCCGCGTGGGGCATGAGCGCACTTGGCGGGGTAGGGGCTGAAGGGATCAGGGGAAGCCTCTAGCCTGGAGGGTACGGGGCACGCTTCCCCAAGGGCGGACCTGGCAAGAGGAAGCCCAAGAGCTGGGCCCCGCCACCCAGGCCGGGCTAGGGACATGGTGGGGTCTGGGCATCCTGGGGCTGGACTTGGGCGACCTGCAAGGCATAGGGAGGGGAGAGATGGGTGGCTCTGCCCCCCTGAGGCCCCGCCCCGGCCACACCCATGCACGGAAGCTCCTCCCTGCCGTGCCCCGAGGCAGTCGCCCAAGCTTAAGCCCAGACCCCAGTGGTGAGAACATCCCAGCTCCACCCCGCCCCGCAGCCAGTGCTCCTTGGCAAGCTCCACCCCTCACTCCAGGTGGGAGCCACCCCGATGCAGGGGCATCCCTCTGTGCGGCCCGGGCGGGGGGTACTTTGGGGCTGTGGGGGGCAGGCCCTGGCACCTTTGTTCCTCAGAGATGCTCTGCACCTGCACCCAGGTGTCGTCCGCGGGCAGGGGCATGGGCATGCTGACGGTGGTCCTGGTGGTGTCACTGATGATGCTGAGCGCCTCCTTCAGCACGTGGTGCATGCGCAGCATCTCGTCGTGCCACTGTGCCTACTCTGCCCACTCCTCCATCAGTGTGTTCTGGTTCCCACGCGAGTACATATTGGCCAGTGGCTCCGAGATGATGAACTCCGTGGTCTGAGAGTGGACAAACAGGAAAGAAGGTCGGGACCTGATGCCTGTGCTGCCCTACTGGGACTGTGTGCTGGACTTGGAGCCCCTTGGAGTAAGGCTTTTCACACGGGCTTCTATACCGCTTCGACTGGAAGATCCACCTCCCCACTGCCTTTTCTCACTCAGATGGGGACACTGAGGTCCAGAGGAAAAGACACCTGTCAAATGTCACAGATCTGGGAGCGGACTTAGGACCTATCACGCCAAGAAGACACCTGTTTACTCAGTTTTCTTTTCGGAAGGGGGCACTGATAGGGTCTCGCTCTGTCACCAGGCTGGAGTACAGTGATGACTGCTCACTGCAGCCTCCATCTCCTGGGCTGAAAGTGATCCTCCAATGTCAGCCTCTTGCGTAGCTAGGACTACAGGCACGTGCCACCACCAAGCCCAGCTACTTGTAAAATTTTTGTGTGGAGACAAGGTCTCCCTATGTTGCCCAGGCTGGTCTCGAACTCCTGGGCTCAAGTGATCCTCCCACCTCGGCCTCCAGGAGTGGGAGTGAGACAAAACACAGGGTCCCGAGCTCTGGGGAGCAAGCAGTGTCCTCTGGTGCCAGAAATCCTGGACTTGCCAGCAGAAGTGTTGCCTCTTACTTGCCATGTGCTCTGCATACAGGTACCTGCCCTCCAGGAGCTTCAGTTTTCTTATCTGAAAAATGAGGACACCTGACCCCTTCCCTGCCCCGTTCGGTGTTGTGGGACAGGGCTGCTGTCAAGACAATACCCAGTTCTGCCCTCCTCCCTGAGTGGGCCAGGTAGCCCATGGAGCCTCTTCCCGGCTTTCCTGGGTGGCACTGCCAGCCTGGCCCCCTGGTGCCCATTCAATCTAGTCCTTCATCTTGCTAGGGCATGGGGAAGCTCTGAGTAACGTGGGACTATAGAGCGCAAGAGGGTTGCTGATGGTCTGGTCCCGTGCCCTCCTCATTCCTCGGCATTCTTGATGAAGGCTCCCAGCAACTGAGGGTACGCAGCAGCTGTAGACACCAGCCTGATGAATATCTCACTGTGGGGAGGGCACCATAGCAGGAGTGGAGCTCCGGGGAAATACAGAACCCAGGTCTGGGAGGTGCTGATGTGAGAGGCCCAAGAAACCTCGGCTTTGCACTTGCTGAGTACCATCTGCACCTCTCAGGAGGGAGAGTGCCAGGCTCAGGTTGTCCTTGCCCAAGCAAGGGAGCTTGAAAAGGGGGCTAGGGGTGGGCTCTGCCATTTTCAAGGGCTGGCAGGGGGACCCCTCTGGAGGTACTTGGGGCAGTGCTGCATGCCGTGGCTCCTGAATGACAGAGACAGCTCTGCGTCCCACAAGACCACTCCCTGCCCAGAACTCACTGTGATCATGTGCTGGGTCCAGATGCTCACGCAGCCTCCTGGTGGGAGCATCAGGTATGCTGCCTGCCCAGGACGGCCCACAAAAGAGTCTGCCCTGCTATGGAACAACTCCCGTTCTGCCTTTGGGGAGAGGTGTTCATTTAAACAATGACTGCTCTGGCCCCCATGGCACAATTACCACAGAGAGTCTGCCACTACCCATGGCTGAGAGCTCTAGTTCTTCTCTGAAGCCACCAGGACAGATGAACAGTGGCTTCCCCCTTTTGGCCGACTCAGCTGCCTTTCATCAGCTCATCTGCTCCTAGGATCCACTCTGCCTCTGGCTGGCACCTGATCTGAGCCCCAGGCTCACACCTCTGCCCACAGGCCCCAGCAGCTGTTTCACCTCCGACTCCATCCCCCACCAAGCACTGCCCCTCACCAGCTACTGGGGTGCCACTAGTGCCCCTACATGGTTCTCCCTCTCCAGACCCTTGGGTCCAGCTCTAACTTCCTTCTGGAAACCACACCCCAAGACCCCAGCCCTGCTCTAGGGCCCTGTATCCCCGACTTCCTGCATCCTTCTCCCTCCTTCTGGGAACATGAACTTGCCCCGCCAGCCTGATGACTCCTGGAGGGCAGGACGCCAGGGCCCTGGACCATGGCAGGCCCGGGAGTGTCTGCTGCCAGTGATGCTGGAGCTGGTGCCCATGTCCACATGATGTCCATGGCACAGTGGCCACCTGAGGCTGGGCGCATCTGAGTGGTGACTGCAGAGTGGGGCCCTTACCTCTCCCTGAGTGAAGTTCACCAGGTCCTCCCCTGTGAACTGCCCCCAAACTCACATTCCTGTTCTGTACCCTTGCCCGGAATGTTCCTTTTGCCTGGAATACCACTCCCCATTCCCTGCTCCCGATGGCCTGTGCTCTTCAGAGCCGGGCCCAAACACTGCCTCCTCCCATGAGGCCTTCCTGATGCCAGATCTGCTGGCTCACCTTGGGCCCCAAGCTCCAGATGCAGACCAGAAGGGTCTCTGAAATGAGCAGTGTGGGAGAGTAAGGCTGAGAGCGGGCAAGGACTGGCCTGAGGTCACAGGGCATGTCAGTGAGATCTCTGGAAGGCCCATGGCTGCTCTGTGGGGTTCCTGGATGAGCAGAAGCCCTTGACACACCCTCCTAGTCCTGGTCTGGGCTCTGAGAAGAGAGCGGGGTACACAGGGGTCTGAGGGGCAGCGGCCTGTCTCCACAGCCAGCAATCCCAAAAGTTCAGGACCCGTGATGCCCACCCAGGGAACTGACTGCAATGCAGATTCTCCGGCTCCACTTCAGAGATTCTGTAGGGCTGGCTAGGGTCCAGGAATCTGCACGCTCAGCCATGCCATGGACATGAGTGGGCACCATCTCTAGAGGCACACACCACTCCCCGGAGGATGGGTGTACAGCAAGCTCCCCAGAAACTCTTGGGAACACAACATATATGGGAGCACATCTGAGGCACGTGCACACACGCAACCTGGGACCACCACAGGCACAACCCAAGTCACATGTGTTCCCGGCAGGGAGGCTGGGAGGAAGGCCCTCTACCTGGTCCACACCTCCACTCACCACCCCCAGCTCCTCACCTCCAGCTGGTCTCTTCTGATCTCAGCTGCCTCTCCCTGGAAGATGTAGATCTTCTTGTGCCAGGCCAGCTTCAGTGGGGCTAGTGGGCCCTCTAGGGCAATGGTCACTTGTAGGGTGGCATCTGTGTGCACTGGCCCCACATCCATTGAGAAGGCCCCACATCCATTGAGAAGGCCAGGGTGTTGCGGGAGCTGAGGCTGCCATTGTGGCCAAAGAGAATGGCCCCAACCAGCAGGTCCTGCTGGGAGAAGGCAGTGCTGGCTGAGTGGCCTGCAGCAACTGTCCCCAGCGAGGGCTGTCTGTGACGTGGTAGTGGACCTCATCCCCGCTGCGGATGTCGAGGTTGGTGCCAAGGTGGAGCTCGGCCATGTTGATGGTACCCTGGTCTCCTTGAGGGACCATGAGGCTGGAGCCGTTGGCCACACAGAGGTAAGGCTCCAAGGCCTGCACCTCCAGCACCATGATGGCCTGGTGCTGCCTGTCGGACACCTGCAGCAGGATCCAGCTGTAGTCAGCCTGAGTGCGTGAACAGGACTCGCCTCTTCCTGAGGCCCCTCCTGGATGAAGCAGCAGATGGGCTGCATGGGCTCATCCGTGGCCATGATACTGCCAGAGAGGAGGTCCTTGTGGGTCAGCACCAGCTGGGCATCCACAAAGCCCGAATCAGCATTGCTGAAGGCCATGTTGTCTGTAGTCAGCAGCTGCCACCTACCCCAGGCCACATGGAAGACGCAGCTGATGCTCTGCACAGGGGCGTGGTCATTCACAGGCTGGATGGCCCCGTACCTCCTCCCAGGCCACGTCACCACTGCTCTGGTCCTGGCGGCAGCAGCAAATGGCATATCATCTTCCGTGATCTCGGAGTCATCATGCTGCTAGACCAGCTGGCCACGCAACAGGTCTCCATTGGTGAAGGATGTCACCATAGTGATCTTGTCCTGTGTCCCACGCTAAGAACCTCCCATGGCAGGGCTGCTACATGACCTCATAGAGGTACCTGGCACTGTTGAGGCTCTTGACGAAGAGCTGGTCAGCAGAGAGGACACACCCACCACCCTCGGGCACCACGAGGACATTGGTGAGGACAGGCATGTCTGGGTCACCGCCAATATGGATGGAGAAGGTACAGAGTGGGGAGAAATATGGTGGAGCTGTGACATGGAAACAGAAGGTGTCCTCCACTGCCACTGAGGCACGTGCCATGGCCCCATAGGTCACCTCTGCAGCCTGTACGTCATCCTGGGTGAAGCCCTGACCGTCTGACAGCATCGTGCCCTGTAGTTGAAAGTTGCCTTTCCTGGGAGCCTGAACCACCTCACAGTGGAAGGTTGGGGGGCTTGGGCCTGCCTCCTCCAGGGTGGCCTCCAGGTGGGCTGTGGTGAGGGCCTCCTGCTGGGTGTTCTGAGTGTGCAGTGGCTCCAGCTGCAGCATCCACACAGTGGCTCTCTGGATGGTCACTAGGAAGGACAGATTGCTCAGGATTTCCCAGCTCACCTGCACCTGCAGATCCAGGTTCTCCACGGTGTCCTCGGTGTAGTGCTGTGGGTCAGTGCTGCGGTACCTCACGTGGCCCTGCTCCACATCCTGCTGGTGGAACGCCTGTGTGACCCACCACTCAGCATCCTCCACCCCACCAGCCCCCTGCTTCTGCAGCTCCCTGAACGGCAGGCCTCCGGTGACATGGAACAGCACGGTCACATCCTGCCCCACGGCGCTGGTCTCCACCAACAGGTTGGTAGGCAAGATGGGCATGGCAGAGCCCTGGGCCAGATGCAGCCCTGTGCTGCGGTGGATTTGTATGGCCAGCTGGACAGCCACCACCTTCAGCATGGCCGGGGGGCTGGCCTGCAGTCCATTGCTGACCCGGAATGTCAAGTCCTGTGTAGGGCCACCACAGTGGACATAGACTAGGCTGCCGGCCTCCAACTCCCAGCAGGAGAACTCAGTCACCGGCTCCCCAGGCTGGTCTCGGTGATCCACGGGGAGGCCAGAGGGGGTGCCAAGGAGCTGGAAGGCGAGGCCCTCACAGGCAGAGTCCAGGTCATAGGCCTGGAGAACCTCAGGCCCCAGAGGCTTCTGTGTGTGTTCCAGGATCACCATAAGGCTGCCATGTGGGAAGATGATGTGGGGTGGGTCATTGACAGGGTTGACCTGGATGGGCAGGAGGTCTGTTTGGCCCCTCCGCAGGCATGAGGGCATGGGCAACCAAGCCATCACTGACACCTCCAGCACCAGCTGGTCAGAGGTGTCCTCAGGGCCATCGTGGATGAAGCGGGCCTTGCAGTTCACCACGTCCAGGAGGGTGAACATTTTTCATGCCTGGGCACCCAGGACATCCAGCTCGAGCTCGCTGTAGTGTGCCCCTCAGGTCACACTGAACAGCACCTGGGATTTACGCAGTTCAGCCTCCATCAGTGCCAGCATGGGCTGCACATGCCACCACTCAAGCCAGGCTGTGCCACCCTCGGTCACCACCACTGCGCTGATAGCAGCTGGATGAAATTGGCAAAGACAGGAGGTAGCCCTGGCTCAGGCACGCATGGCTCAGCTAGCTCCACAGACAGCCAAGCCTTGGGAGCCAGGGTGGAGAAAGCTTCATAATGGCCATAGGCATTGTCTACCTCCTCCAGTCTGCAGCCAGCCACCATGTTGTGCGTCAGCAAGGCTTCCCACAGCCCCTGCCTCTAGCCATTGACACTGAGGTCTTCCATGCAGCCAGCCCAGCAGGGAGGCATTGGCAGCCCCTGGTGTCAGGCCTGAGCGGTGTTCCTGGAGGTGATGAGAGGCCTCTGCAACCAGCTCCCCAAGAAGGAGACTGTCACGTGGCTCCAGGTAGCTGAGGACTCCTCAGTTCGTGTGGGGTACTGGTCCATGGAGATTTCTAGCTGGTGAATGTTGATGTGGATGCTGACCTTGTGGGGCTGTGCGTCAGTCACAGGCACACTGTTGAGGAGCAATACAGTACCCTGGCCCTTCTCAACCATGGACCACAGGTGGCCCTCAAATATGTCCACATGGATGAAGTCCCCATGCCAGCCTGCTGCCTGGAAGGCCAAGGGTGCCTGCCAGCTCTGTGTGGTGAGTGTAAACTCCAGGGTTCCTTCATCCTGAGTGCCCCAGGCAGGCAAGGCAGCCAGAGAGTGGGACCCAGAGAAGCCCAGGGCCACATCGTCATTGGCAGAAAACTCTTCAGCACAGCCCTCATGCTTATTGGGGGTCAGAGGCTGGAGGAGTCTGCGGCCATTGAGAGCGGCTGCATGGAGGCAACCCCTCAGGGGATGGCTGGTTCCCCTCAGGTAGGGCAGGCCAAGTCTCCCAGTGCTCCCAACAAAGAGCCCATAGGGGACTTCTAGGGGGGCTCCCAGGACTACAGAGGAGGCATTCAGAAACCCATTGACTGACAATGTGGGCCAGTCCTCTGAGACAGTCAGAACTGTGGTGTGGGGGACGGAGTCACTCAGTAGAATTTCTGCTGGGGTCTGCAGCCTCAGCTCCTCCTGGCCCAGGACAAGCCTGACCTGAGGAGAGACGGGGAATGGGAGATGGGGGGCAGCACTTTGAATCCATCATTTCCCTTATAAAAGCACAGTGGGTTCCCCACAGGGGGCCCCAGAGCAGAAAACCTAGGACAAGGGCCTCTGGTGCCACTCCTCTTGCCTTCCTGCCATCTCTTTATTCATCCTCCAAACACTCACCAAAGGAAACTCTGGGCCAGGCCTGGATGGGCTCTGGGGACCCTGGTGTGAATCAGATGTGGTCCTTGCCCACAAGGAACTGACATATAGCAAGATGCTCTTCTAGAAACCCAACCTGTATTTTTAAATTCTCCTCCTCTTTCCTTGAGTGAGAAGCACCAGAAATATTGTCTTGGAATCTAGATTTCACCCCTGGAATAATGGGTAACTGAGAATCCGTTGATCAGTCCCCCTAAGTTTGGCAAAGTTTCTCGAGGTCACTGAAGGAAGCCAGGCTAACTGTTCAGGGACAGGGAGCCCAGGCAGATGCTCTGTGTTCTGGAAAAAAAAAAAAAAAAAAAAAGCTGCCTGACCTGTGGTGGAGGAATATCTCAAGGAGAGATGAAGGACATAGTTCTGTCACCATGACATTGACACAAGAAATGGCTCTGGTATGGTGCTCCCAGATGCTAGAATAGGTGATGGCAGAGTATGGGAACTGCAGAACCAGAACACTAAGAACCATGATCTTGGAGTCCTGGTATGGTGCATCTCTGTAGGGATGTGGCATCACTACCTGCACAGCTCAGCAGCCATCAGCACCAGACTGCACCACATAGGTGTTCAACAGTGACACCTTGTGGCAATGAGCAGCAATGACAGCAGCAGACTGACCAAGCCCTAGTCCTCTTCCCACTGGGGTGTGGAAAGAGATGGCTGCCCCAAATTTGTTAATTTGTTTTTTTTTTTCCTTCTAAAATAGAGATGGGGTCTCATTGTGTGGCTCAGGCCAGTCTTGAACTCCTAGGCTCAAGTGATCTTTCCACCTTGGTCTCCCAAAGTGGTGGGATTATAGGCATAAGCCACTGCACCCAGCCTGCCCCAAATTTGGACTAAGACCCTGGGTTCTTAAACTCTTCCTGGTATGGGGTAAGACTCAAGTAGGAGCCACAAGACTCCTTGATAATAAAGCTTGTGGTGTCTTGAAGGATGAAATGGAAAAATGAAGCTGAGGCAGTACTGGTGCTGTTACTCTCATGGACAGACAGTGGTGCTGCAGATAAATTGGTGCAGTGCCACCAGGATGCGCAGGGGTCATGGGGGCCCAGGAGGGGGTCTCGCCGAGGAGGAGGGGATGCCCACACTGAAACTTCAAGGAGAGACTAGAGTTCGGCAGGTACAGGGAATGGGTGGGTCACACACCTGGCAGGAGGAGTGTGATGACCAAAGGCCTGGCTGCAAGTGACCATAAGATGGCCAGGAACTGAAAGCAGTTCAGTGCAGTCAGAGCACAAAGGGCCAGTGAGGGCTTGTGGTGGGAAACATGGTTGGAAGGAGCCGGTGGGCAGAGCCAGTTCATGAAGGATTTACCATTTCTGAGCTGCTGCTGCCCATCCCACAGTGGAGAACTTGAGACCCCAAGAAAAGTGACTTACACAAGGTCAACAGCCAGCTGGGGTTCACTCAAAGCTAGACAAGGAATCTCGCCCCAATCCCAGGGGGACGTCACTCACCTGCAGGTGTCCAGAGTAGAGCTGCAGCAGGAGGTGGTCAGCTGGGCCTGCTGCCAGGAGAAGGAGGGCTTCGGGTTGGGACATGGAGAACTGCAGCTGCAGGTCTATGTCAGTCAGAGCCATGGCCACAGTCACCTCCGGGTGGTTCTAACCAAAGAAGGAAGCTGTGTGAGAGAGGGAGCTGTGGTCAAGGCTCAGATTCTTGCCTGGAGGAGGCGAGGTGCTGCAGGGAGGGATGGGTGGGTTGCAGAAAGGGGTCCGTGCTGGTGCACCCTCATGGTTCTGCCATACGGTGCTGCCTCTGAGCACTGCCCAGATCCCAGCATTTCCTTGGTCCTGGCACCAGAAGGCACAGCCTCACCTTGTGTCCAGCCCAGACCTTGACTTGGCAGGAGGTCAGACCCAGAAATTCCCAGCAACTCAGGTCTCCTCCTTGGAGGTTCCTGGAGCCAGAGGCCTCTGCCAGCTCTGACTCACCTCCCCTGGGCCCCAGAGGAGTCTCCCTCCCAGGTCTGGCTCCCCGACCTGGCCCAAAGGGAAACATCACTGGCCTGATCACCTGGCTTGGTGGTCACAGCCCTGAGGAATGGAGTTTCTGGAGAATCACCACCAGGCCAGATCGATCCCTGCTCAGATTCCTTCTCCTAAGTGCTCTTGTGCTTGGGCTCCTGTGCAGCACCTGCCGTGCCATGCCCCACCTCCATGGGTTGGCTGGGGCCACGGCTGGGATCTGGGGGTGATGTCACTGCAGCCCACCTATCCCTGCTTCTCCCTCAGGCCATTCTTCCAGCTGCCATTGAGGGTGGGGGCAGGAGCTTATTGGCCTGAGTTTGCCAAGGAGTAAAGGCTCTCAGGCCAGATGGGGACCATATGCAGTGTCAAACCAAAGTGGGCCCACACTTCCTCCACTACCCCTGCTGTTGCTTCCTGCTAGAGAGCTATTCACAGTCCCCGCTGAGCAGTCAGATCCGGCCCCATTGTTTCCACCGTGGCCAAGGAACCAGGGATGAGAACAGCTCAGCTCCCAACCTCCCCAGGCCACCACTCAGTCTGAGGCTGAAGACAGGGCCTAGAAGGGGCTGAGGGTCTGCTGAGCAGGCCAAAGAGGGCCTCCCCAGGCAGAAGGCCATGTCTGGGCTTGCCTGGGATTAGTGGTTCTTATGCAGGGCCTGTTCTGTCCCACAGTGGGACTCCTCCTCTTTTGAGTTGCTGCTTCCTCCAGGCAGTTTCCCCAAATTAGCCTCCCTGACTTCCAACCCGATGCCATAATTTCTGGTTTATGCCTTTTGCGGTGATAAGAGCCAAATATAACTTTAACTTTGCCTGCAGATGTCCAGGGCTGGGGGGCAGACAAACACAGGTTAAAAACTGTGATTCATCCCTGTTGGGTTTCCCTCAAACCCCAAGAACAAGCACAGGCTGATGGCCTTGATGGGGTGATCCAGCACCGACCTCACATGCACTGGTCCCTAGCCAGCCTGAGCCAGCTGCCATCTGCTCGAGGAAGTAGCTTCAGCCATTGGAGGAGTTGGAGGTTTGTATACCCTCAGGGCAGCCAGTCCCACCTGGAGGGATATCCAGGAAAGATCCCGTAAGAGCCCCTCGGGTTGAGTTAAATCCCCTCTAGTTATCCCCTCCTCCTGCCAGCACTGCTGGCAACACCAGCACCTTGGCTGGGAAGCTAAGGGAATCAAGTAAGCCCCGCAGACCATATGCACGGGGGTGGCCCAGCAGTCTCAGCAGGCACAGCACAGCTTGGTGCCAGCAAGAGACAGACCAGGGAACTGCAGGTGGTGGCCAGCTACTGGGGTGCCTTATCTGCAAAGACATTGATTCCTAAGAGCAAAACACAGCACACTAAAGTGAGGGAGGCCATAGCACAAGGGGTGGGGGCACATGGCCCTGCAGGATGGAGCCACCACAGTCACCGGCTGGAACGGCTCACAGCAGCTGCCAGGAGCCAACTGTTGAATTTTCAGGAATTTTGAGAGGCAGGTGATACTGCCCACAGTGGGAATATTTATACCAGGAAAAGAGGCAAATACTGAAAATCAGGGTTCCCTCTCCCCAAGAAAGCCCTTTGCGAAACATTTACCTACCCAGCACCCACGGGGAAGGGGGCACATTTCCCTGTGCCTACCCACCTGTGTTAATCAGGGTTCCCTAGAGGGACAGAACTAATAGGAGATATAGACAGATATAGATATAGATATAGATATAGATATAGATAATAGATATAGATATAGATATAGATAATAGATATAGATATAGATAGATATATAAAGGGGAGTTTATGAAGTATTAACTTACACAATCACAAGGTCCCACAATAGGCTGTCTGCAAGTTTGAGGAGCAAGGAGAGCCAATCCGAGTCTCAAAACTGAAGAACCTGGAGTCCGATGTTAGAGGGCAGGAAGTGTCCAGCATGGGAGAAAGATGTAGGCTGGGAAGCTAGGCCAATCTTACCTTTTCATGTTTTTCTGCCTGCTTTATATTCGCTAGCAGCTGATTAGAAAGATGGTACCCACCAGTATTAAAGGTGGGTCTGCCTTCCCCAGCCCACTGACTCAAATGTTTATCTCCTTTTACAATGCCCTCACAGACACTTCCAGTAGGTCAATACTTTGCAGCCTTCAACCCAATCAAGTTGACACTCAGTATTAACTGTCACACCACCCTTGCACTAAAGGTATACATACACCCACTAGGGCATGGTCAAGGTCAGAGATCTGGGCCAGACAGGAACTGAAGTAGATGGTTGGCCCTAACCACTGAACCACCTGCCTGCGGCCTCCTCCCATCAGAAGAGAGTAGAGCCTGTTTGGCCAGAGTGGAATGGTGGCAGGAAGCAGAGGTACTTTCCGGAGCGCTGGGGTCTGAATGGGTCCATTGAGGCTGGGCCCTGCTGCTTCCTGTAGGGCTGAGTGGGAGAGGCTCACAGAGGCTGCCTTGTGCAGCTGGAGCGCATAGCCAGGGAGGCCCCCACTCCAACAGAGGCCTCTGAGGCCTTGCTGGCCGGGGCTTTGGAAACTCTGACAGCGCTGCTTCCCTCACCTCCTGATCTCCTTTTTCTGCCCCTCTTACACTCTCTGAGGGGCTGCAGTTGCAAGAACCCAGAATCTCTGTCTTGGAGGTAGTGGGGGGGGGCAGTTGAAGAGGGGCTTTGAATGGAGAGGGTCTGCACAATAAAGATGTAATAAGCTAGGAGTCAATCCAGAGGACTTCCTGGAGGAGGTGATGGTGGTGTAGAGTCACAGAGAGGGAGGAACAGGCAGTCTCAGAGGACAGCAGCAAGGCCAAGTGAGAGACTGGCAGAGGTATACAGGTCCCCGTTGGCTGGGGTGAGGAGGGTTTCTGCTCCCTCACCCCCCAGAGCCTCTGGCTTATCACAGGATAAGAGCCAGCTAAGCTCCAGGGGCTTTCCAGGAAAAGTGTCTCTTGGAAAGGGTGTGACCTTTTCATCGGTCCTGACAGCACCCTAGAAATAGCTTGGCCTTTTCCCTCCCCTGAGCTCCACAGAGAACACAGCCAGCAGAAGACACATTCCCTGTCATCCAGAAATGGGTTTGATTCTCAGCTGAGGGACAGCAGGACTGGTAGAGACTGTCAGGCCACACAGCTACCTACAGAGCACCCCCATGCTTGGTCGGGGGTGGGAGGGATGGCAGGGTCTGGCTGTCCACAGGCCGGGCATGACAGTGGGGCGCACTGGAAGTGGCGCACTTTGGAGGGGCAATGTCAGGGGAGAGCTTCCTCTTGTTGGGCCACAAGACTCCACAAGGACAGCACGGTGACTGATTCCCAATGCTAGAGGCGAGGCAATCGGTCATGTGTAGGTGTATGTGTGTGTGTGTGTGTGTGTGTGTGTGTGTGTGTGTATATACACACACATATGTGTGTATATATATATGAGGGTGTGTGTATGTGTGTGTATACATAATTTATTTATTTAGATGGAGTCTTGCTCTGCCACCCAGGCTGGACCTCAGTGGTGCGATCTCGACTCACTGAAACCTCTGCCTCCTGGGTTCAAGCAATTCTCCTGCCTCAGCCTGCCGAGTAGCTGGGACTACAGTCACCTGCCACCACACCGGGCTAATTTTTGTATTTTTAGTAGAGATGAGGTTTCACCATATTGGCCAGGCTGGTCTCAAACTCCTGACCTTGTGATCTGCCTGCCTCGGCCTCCCAAAGTGCTGGGATTACAGGTGTGAGCCACAGCACCCAGCTATTTATAGATATTTATAGAATATGACCTCAACTATTTAAACATATCTGTAAGGGTATAAGTACTTTGATAACAAAGAAGCAATACATACTGATAGAAACTAGCTATCATGTCAACAGTACTTATATTAGGTAGAGAAATTATGTGAGATTTTTATTTTTTTATATTTTACTAATCTTCTCAATAATGGTTGCTTATAAGTTTTATAATCAAGAAAAAAGATTTCTAAAGTTTTTGCAAAATGGAAAGTTATGCTTCTTTATATACTAAAGACAAAAACAAAACTTCCTATTTGAATACCTTTGACTTTTACTGCAGACTTACAGACCCTTGAAAGAAAAGGCAATTCCCTCCCACTAGTTCTGGTGTCATTCTCCCCATCTCTCCCTTCACTTCCACCTTGGTCTTCTTTCTACTTCCCACCTTGGCTAGTGGTCTCCACCCAAAATGCTTGCTTGGCTTAATGGTTAGAATTCAGGGAAAAAGAGATCCCGAATTGCTAATCTAAACTAAGATTATACATGTGGGAAATAATAAAGAGAAACCAGGTAGTAAATAAGATTTGGAGGACTTAAAATACCCAGACTTTAATTCCTCTAAGATTATAGTTATTAATCATGTTTTTATATAATATTATCATTTAACATTTAATTTCTAAATATAATGTTCATGAGGAAAAGAGAAAATAGCTTGGTTTCTTTCCTTACCGAACTGTTGTCCTTAGTATCTTCTAGACGTTCCAGAACTGATGTCAGATTTGGCTCATCAGAGTCCACAAACCATATCGGTGAAGAAGATGAATAGGATTCCTGTTTAACCCAGAGACACCTATGTTAAATGTTTACATACAGACTAACCCAAATATGCAATTAAACCACACCACTAAATGGCAAGATGACCATGGATTTAAACAAAATGTATGGGGGAAAAGGCAACACGTTTAAACCCATGTGAGGAGCTGGACTTCTGAGACAGCCATTCTCCTTGCATAGCACTGTCTGCTGCTACAGCTCATAGAAGTCAACAGTTTTCTTCAACACTGGTAGGCAGCCTCTAAATGGCCCTGATCACCCTCACCTCCTGCCATTCACACCCTTGTAAAATTCCACCCCTCGACCTAGTGACTCACTTCTAACAAAGAGAATACAGCAAAAGTAACATCGCTTCTGAGGTGAGGCTACAAGGAGACTACGATGCCTGCCTTGGTCACCCTTCTCCTGCTCTTTCCATTGCTCCCTCTGATGGAAGCCAGTTGCCATGTGATGAGGTGCCCTATGGAGAGGCCCACGTGACAAGGTATTGTAAAAAGCCTCTGACCAATAGCCATCTAGAAACGGAGGCCCAGTGCAGCAGCCTCTGAGATGAATCCTGCCAACCTGAGCTTGGAGACAGATTCTCTCCCTATCCTGCCTTGGGATGATCACAGCCACCACCAACACCTTCACTGCCTGGTGAGAGGCCAAGCCAGTGAACCCAAGGTAAACTGGACAGAATCCTGACCCACAGAAACTGAGATAATGTTTGTTATTTTAAGCTGCTCAATTTGTTACAGAGCAATAGATAACTAACTCAAACACCATAAAATTCTAATATTTTATTCTATCACACAAACCAAGTAATACCAAGTAAATGCCATTACTATACATATATTTTTGTAACACAATTACATGTGATTTTTTAAAAAAGCTAATGAACTATGCATTATGTGCTTTCACCCACTAACAGACGTTCCCGCTGTTACTTTGTACTGTTCTCTATTATAAATTGGGGAAAAACCATTATTATTATATATTAGTTTCAGAATAACTAGGTTCAAGTCACAGAAAACAATTTTGCACAAACAACTTTAGGCAACACTGCTTTGAAAACTGTAATCTGAGTTAAAGCTGAAGCCACAGAAACCAAATATTTACTGAAGGTTCCTTTTTAAGAAAAGCAAGATGGGCTGGGCACGGTGGCTCGCGCCTCTAATCTCAGCACTTTGGGAGGCCGAGGTGGGCGGATCACGAGGTCAGGAGATCGAGACCGTCCTGGCTAACACGGAGAAACCCCATCTCTACTAAAAAAATACAAAAAAATTAGCTGGGCGCGCTGGCGGGTGCCTGTAGTCCCAGCTACTCAGGAGGCTGAGGCAGGGGAATCACTTGAACCCAGGAGGCAGAGGTTTCAGTGGGCCGAGATGTCCACTGCACTCCAGGCTGGCGATAGAGCAAGACTCCATCTCAAAAAACAAACAAACAAAAAGAAAAACAAGTTGTATTGATGGAGGACATAATTAACAGTATATCTCTTCAATAATGGTTTATTTTACTATTCTCATTCTTCTCATTCCTCTCTTACTGTGTTCCAAATCTCTTTACAGGCTAAAAGAAACTCTTCAGAATTACTCCTATTCTTTTTTTTCTTTTTTGAGACCGAGTTTTCGCTCTTGTTGCCCAGGCTGGAGCGCAGTGGCACGATCTCAGCTCATCACAACCTCCACCTCCCAGGTTCAAGCAATTCTCCTGCCTCAGCCTTCCTGAGTAGCTGGGATTACAGGCATGTGCCATCATGCCCCACTAATTTTGTATTTTTAGTAGAGACGGGGTTTCTCTATGTTGGTCAGGCTGGTCTCGAACCCCTAATCTCAGATGATCCACCCACCTCGGCCTCCCAAAGTGTTGGGATTACAGGCATGAGCCACTGCGCCCAGCCAACCCTATTCTTAAAGAACACCAGTTCCTCAGTATTGCATTTTCTTCTATAAATTCTTCAGCATACACTGAGAATACACCATATGGACTATTTTTACACTTTTAATTTTCGTTTTTTTTTACTTTTGGCTAAGGAAATTTCAATTAGATTTAGGACTTCATTCTGTTAGGTTAGTATTTTCTAGTAAACTTCAGCATAAGCAAAATAAAATACGTGTTGTTGCTCTGGACTGAAACCCCTCAAAACCATATTTTAAAAATTACAAAAAAAAATTAACTGAAATCAAGTTTTTAAAAACCTTGTAGATGAAAAGATATGATATCTAGTACGTCTAAGTACCTATTTCAATGGTTCCCAAAGTGCGGCCCTCAGACCCCCAAGTCCAAACTATTTTGACAGGAATACTAACATGGTGACATTTGCTGTAAGTGTGCAAATACAATGGTGGGTAAAAATGCTGGTACTTTAGCACAAACAAAAGCAGTAACACCAAACTACTAGTAGTCATGGTATTCTTCATTATGCACAGGAAAGGTTTAAAAAGGAAGGGTGGGTGGGACATGGTGGCCTACACCAGTAATCCCAGTGCTTCGGGAGGCTGAGGTAGACGGATCACTTAAGGTCAGGAGTTTGAGACGAGCTTGGCCAACATGGTGAAACCCCATCTCTACTAAAAATACAAAAATTAGCTCGGTGTGGTGGTGCATGCCTGTATTACCAAATACTTAGGAGGCTGAGGCAGGAGAATCACTTGAACCTGGGAGGCAGAGGTTGCCTTGAGCTGAAATTGCACCTATGTAACTCCAGACTGGGCAACAGAGCAAAACTCCATCTCCAAAAATAAAAATAAAAAGGAAGGGCAACAAAAGGTCAGTTTCATTTAAGAATGTCTATGATAAGTTTGGGAATTTTGGCTCATGTCTGTAATTCCAGCACTTTGGAAGGCCCAGGCAGGGGGATCCCTTGAGCCCGGGAGTTCAAGACCTGCCTGGGCAACCTGGTGAAACCTCATCTTTACAAAAAATACAAAAATTAGCTGAACACAGTGGCTGCATGCCTGTAGTCCCAGCGTCTTGGAAGGCTGAGGCAGGAGGATTGACTGAACCCAGAAAGTTGAGGCTGCAGTGAGCTGTGATCACGCTACTGCACTCCAGCCTGGGTGACAGAACAAGGCCCTGTCTCGAAAATTAAAAAAAAAAAAAAAGAATGTCTATGATGAAGCAGTGAATATTTTACTATATCTAAATCATTGAATATATCTTTTTAATATTTCAAGTGATGAAATGGGAAGTATACATGAGCATTCCTACAGGCTGCCTGAGGAAAAACCCTTGAGTGACTAAGTCATGAAGTGAATTAACCACTTTAATGGAATACCATTTTTACTTGAAAGGCTGACTGACAAAAAATGTTATTTTAACTCGCATTTCTGGCAGATATTTTCTCAAAACATGAGATTCTGTCATTTCAAGGAAAACAACAGACAGGCTATAATAAAATTCAATAACAAAATTACTAATAAAATTCAAGCTTTTGAACAAAAAATTAGAATTTTAGAAAACTTATGCCCACCATCGCTTTCCAAAAGTATTCTGATGAGATTGATGGTGGTACTGATGAATGTATTTTGATACTGTACAAATGTATCAACATGTAGAAGATCTTAGTGAACCACTATTTTATAAGTGACCAATGCACGATGTTGTAATATCATGCAAGGGTGGAAGATCCAAAGTTCAAGAAAAACCAAGATTTGATGGAGTATCAAAAAAGAAGCCTAGGCAACATGGCAAAACCCTGTCTCTACAAAAAATACAAAAAGTTAGCCAAGTGTGGTGGTACACACCTGTAGTCCCAGCTACTCTGGAGGCTGAGGTGGGAGGATCACCTTAGTCCCTGGAGACTGAGGCTGCAGTGAGCTGTGATCACACCACTACCTTCCAGCCTGGGCAACAGGGCAAGACCTCATCTCAAAAAAATATATATATCCACAATGATCTAAAATGGTTATCTGTATGAGATTGGCCTTTGTTCACATTTTTTCAAGAAAATATCACACAATAAATTGAATGCAGAAGCAAACTGACATATCAATTTGCTAATGACATATCAAACATCATGCAAATGACATATCAAACATCAAAATAATTTGCAAAAGATGTAAGACTGTACTACTTTGGGTTTAGAAATTTTCTTTTCATAAAAGCATTTATAACAATATGTGGTGAGCTTTTAAACAATATTTTAAATATTTCTGATTTAATTTCTAGTGATAAATACCAATAGATATACCCTACATAAACCAAAGCTCCTTGGGACCTCAATGTATTTTTAAGAGTGTAAAGGAATCCTGACCCCAAAACTTGGAGAACTGCTGCCTTCCCCTCCACTTTCTTCCTTCTCTAGAATTTCTTCCTTGGAAGAAACATCCCTTTGCCATTCTATATTAACTTACATAGTTCCACTGAGGCAAGTTTTGCTACCTCCCTCCCATCTTTCCACCTCTCTCTCAACACAAAACCTGACCAAAGCATTCTACCAGCCCACCCCATTTCCAGTGATTAGCTGTCAGATGGGCTAAGCCAAACAAATCTGGGTTTTCCCTGAGACTAGACCTCTCTTTCTGGGAGAGATGGAATCACAGGGACAAGGTTGGCCACCTTGGGGTAGTGAGAATTCATCCTGCCTAAACAGGGAGAATTCAAACAAGTTTCTAGAAAGCCAAACTACTTTCTAGAAAGTCAAAGATAATTACATTTTTTGCCATGACTGTAAGAATGCCCATTTCATTGCACACTTTCTAACATTTTTACCAATCTGATAAATAAAAGCTGGTACTGAGATGAAAAAAAGGCTGGGCACAGTGGCTCACACCTGTATTCCCAACACTTTGGGAGGCTGAAGTGGGCAAATCACCTGAGGTCAGGAGTTCAAGACCAGCCTGGCCAACATGGTGAAACTCCGTTTCTACTAAAAATACAAAAATTAGCCAGGCATGGTGGCATGCGCCTGTAATCTCAGCTACTCGGGAGGCTGAGGCAGGAGAATTGCTTGAACCCAGGAGGTGGAGGTTGCAGTGAGATCACGCCATTGCACTCCAGCCTGGGTGACAAGAACAAGACTTCATCTCAAAAAAGAAAAAAAAAAAAGAAAAAAAAAGTTCCCATACAATATAATTTCTTCCATCTCTGGAAACAAATTCAGCAATGAGAACTGAAAGTCACCACGTGGAAGGTTTCAAGGATTTACGTCTACCTACTGATGTCTAAAGCATTAGTTAAGTTACAAAAAAATACGCACACACGCGCACGCACACACACACATACCCGTATGTATTCAGTACCAGAAAACATGACTGACTACATGGTAAAGTCATCCAACAGAAAGCACACAATAACTGAAGGCAATGTAGAGGAGTAAGTTATAACATGGATCTACAATACTGTTGAGTGAAAAAGCAGATTACAAACAAATATCTGATTTTTAAGGGAGAGGAAACATATACAAGCACAGGAGAAAAGAGGTGAGCAGATGACTGGAAAGATACAAATTTCTGACAGTGGCACCTTCTGAGTGGTAGAATTACATAGGTAATATTTTCTAGTTTTGCCTAAAAGTTTTCTAAATTTCTTAAAATAAGAAGGTTTTGTTTTCCATATTACAAAATATCCATCACCCCAGGAAATTTAACCTTCGGCACAAACTCTACAACATGTTCAAAGTTTGTTCAGTTGAATATTTAAGAGACAATCTATTTTGAAAGACATTTAAAATGACCAATATTTAAACCTATGCATTAATATTTTTCAATCACATTTTAAATTTTGTAATTTTGATAAGTTTTAGATCCATCTTGAAAAGATAAATTTTCTGTTTGTCTTTAAAATATTACCTACAATATGCCTGTTTTTATACAGTTAATGGTGCTCAAAAATCGCAATATAAATTCAGGCAGTGTTCCTTCTATAGAATGTGTAAGTGCTTCTAATACTGCTCTTTTTCACCAGTTATGAAAACACGGAACAATTATCTAAGCATCTAATTATTCAGGTCCTTTGTTTCTCCTCCATTCTGTTAGTTTTATACTAATTTCAAGGCCTGTGAGGATGAAGTTGTCTGTGACAGCTACCACAAAGGTTACTATAAGCAGACAAATTTCCAGCAAGTTTATCACCACTACCATCCCACCATAAAACTGTCTCAATCAAGGGCAACACAATTCAAGGTTAGTCAAGACAACCTCTTTACCTGTCACTGCTTAAGAAAAGGATTTTTTGGTCTTATTTAGAAATAACTTTATCTATTTTTCTCCATAATTCCACTGAGACCAATGTGTGCCTCTATCTCAAGCACCAGCAAGCAAAACTGCCTGCCAGTATGTTCAGTTTTTGTATCTTTCCAAATGTAGGGCACAGCTATCTTTTGATATCATAATTTTTTGAAAACTGATGCACAAACTTCTTCTTGAAAGTTCAGCCAGGTGCGGTAGCTCACACCTGTAATCCCAGCACTTTGGGAGGCTGAGGCAGGCAGATCACGAGGTCAGGAATTCAAGACCAGCCTGGCCAACATGGTGAAACCTGTCTCTACTAAAGCTACAAAAATTAGCCAGGTGCGGTGGCAGGTGCCTGTAATCCCAGCTACTCAGGAGGCTGAGGCAGGAGAATTGCTTGAACCTGGGCAGCAGAGGTTCCAGTGAGCCAAGATTGCACCACTGTACTCCAGCTTGGGTGATAGAGTGAGACTCCATCTCAAAATAAAAAATAAAAAAAAGAATTTCAGATATACAGCAGTTGTAATTCTTCTGAAGGCTGCTTATGGGACACATTACTTTCATAATTTGCTGTTCAATAAATGTGGGGTGGAGAATAAAGTAAATTGACAGAATTACCATATAAAATAAAATTCTAAGTCCTCTGACAACAAAAACTTACACACACACACACACACACACACACACACACACGCACACACACACAGCTTTCCCTGCTAATCATTTTACAACAACCAAGTAGCTAACCCAGAGCCCACAAAAGCAGAGTCAAAATTCTAACACTTGGTAAAATAAAAATGCACATATATCCCTGTCACCTAAAAAAAAATGCTTACGTATTCAAAGACAGCAATTGTAGTTACTGAGAACATCATTGTAAGCAAACTGAGGCAGAGAAAACAAACGTGCTGATGAGGATTTGAAACACCTAAGCTGCAGAAACCCACTGGATGGTTTCCTAGGTTCCGAGTTGGCATTATCTTTCAGAACGATCTTCTAGAAGAGATCACATAACACTGTTACAAAGGATCTGGAGAAAGGGACCCTGGCTTCATCACTCTGGCTCTCCAGTCATGCTTTACATTTTCACTTCTTACACTCTCTTTCATAGGAAGTCAATTTACAGGCTTCCACCAAGCCCTTAAGAGACGTTTTTGTACTATCCATGACAAGTTCTTGATGTTATGTCTGCACTTCTGACAAATTCTTAGCAGTTAACTTACTAGGCAGTTAAGGTTTTTGTTCAAGCACAATATAGCTAGAATAGGGTCATACATTCAATAAAACAAATATTTACCAAGCATTTATTGAGTGGAAGATAAAAAGCACAAAGCATAATTATAAAACATTCTCCCCTGCCACCATAAAAATTTTTTTAAAGCCTTACAGAATATAGCATAACATGACCAAAGCAAAAATAGTGAGGACTAAAGAGGGGAGGAAGGGGAAATATCAGCATGAATTAAATATGACCCAGAAGAGCCTTGATGGTCAGACACGTAAAGACAAATTGGGTAGGGTTAGGGGGTGGCTGTCAGGGGCACATTCTACAGGGGAAAAACAGCTGATACAGAAGCCTGAAAGGAAAAGCGGGCAGAGCACCTGGACAGGACTCTTACCTGCTGCATCCAGGGTACAATGCGCCTTTCCAGAACACAGCAGCGACCCGGGGTAGAGGGATCGCTCAAACAGCACCAGAGGCTGCATTCCAACTTTTCCTCCATCAACGAGTCCGTTTTCATTGTTAGTTTCTCCTTAAACACGATTGGCTGAACATGCGGGAACAAGGAAAACCTGACTGAAGAACGAGGCATTTAAGCTTAAGGGCCTTGGATCTGGGCGCGGTGGCTCAGGCCTGTAATCCCAGAACTCTGGGAGGCAGAGATGGGTCATTTGAGGTCAGGAGTTCGAGACCAGCCTGGCCAACATGATGAAACCCCATCTCTACTAAACAACACAAAACTTAGCCAGGCGTGGTGGCGGGCGCCCGTAATCCCAGCTACTCGGGAGGCTGAGGCAGGAGAATCGCTTGAACCCACAGACTGTCAAGAGATGGAGGCTGCAGTATGCCGAGATCGCTCCACTGCACTCCAGCCTGGGCGACAGAGTGAGACTCCATCTCAAGAAGCGCCTGCCACCATGCCCGGCTAATTTTTGTATTTTTAGTAGAGACAGGGTTTTACCATGTTGGCCAGGCTGGTCTAGAACTCCTGACCTCAGGAGATCCAGCTGCCTCAGTCTCCCATAGTGCTGGGATTACAGGAATGAGCACTGCGCCCGGCCAAAAAACCGAAAATCTTAAAGGCCTTTCCCCTTCCCTCACTGGGCTCAAACAACAGCGGGAGCCGCCCTGCCACGCCCCGTCGCGGTCCAGGGGAGCAGGCTAGCTGACTGAGGGCGATCATGGGCCCCAAAAGGTCTGCGGGCGACGCGGGCTCCCACCTCAGGGCGCAGCGACTGGGGCGAGAGGTGCCGGCAGCCCCCAAGCCAGCCCCGCGGCAAGGAGCCAGAGAGACGCGCCCTCCCCCTCCTCCCACGCAAGCCTCACACAGCGGGGCGGGCCAGACGCGGGAGAAAGGGGCGCGCTCGCCCCGCCTGGGGAACCGGGGCCTCTCCCGGGCAGGCTCCCCTTTGTCTCGGGACTCTGGGCGCCTCCTCTCCGCCCTCGCCCTGCCCCGTGAGGCCGCCACTGGGCGCCTCACCGTGATGTTGCAGTGGAGCGTGAGCTGCGGCGGCGGCTCCTGGTTCTTGTGGAAGATAGAGGCCAACAACCTCAGCTTGGCCTTGAACCCTCACACGGACATTTTACTCTCACCTCTGGCGGGAGGGGCGCGGAAGGTGAGCCCGTCGGGAGCCGCTGTCACGGCCGCAACCACCCGCGGGACCTCTCGGCGGCGCTCTCCCAGCTCCGCCTCTCCCTGATGCCTCAACTCTAGTCGGAGTAGGGCTGGAAGATGGCAAGGGGCACCGAGGCCTCTGCGGGGAGCTGTGTGGCGGCCTGGGCGGCTGCTCCCCTTGTAACAGACTCCACCGACAGGAGACGCTGCTCCTGTCAAGCCGCAGCTTAAAAGGGCAACAGCACCACAGTCCCCGCTACCGCCTGGGAAAGGGCTGCCCCTACCCCGCTCCCGTCCCTCTCGCCCCTCACACCCGTCGCCCCTCACCCCTCAACCCGCGCGCCCCCTGCGCACCCGTTTCGGCGGCTGCAGGAGTCCAGAGCATGCGCGCGCTTCCGGCTGCCCCCTCCTCGCCTTGACCCAGCACTGCTGGACCCATCTGGTCCGTTCTTCACACTCGCGGACTGGAGGCTCCGGGCAGCACAACCACCAACTCGTGTGTGTGTTGGGGTGGGGGTGGGGGGCAGAAAACCACCAACTCGTGTGTGTGTGTGTGTGTGTGTGTGTGTGTGTGTGTGTGTGTGTGTGTCTCCCAAGGGAACAGCACTGCTGAGTTCAGGCTATCAGCTCATGGACTGTCAGCAAAATACAGTCACAAGAAGGCTATGTGCTGTTTTGTCTCTTGCAGTGACGTCATGTTGCTCATGTTTTATGTTTTTCAGAGTTCATTAGTTTCTGTTTGCTCTCAGTTAATATCCAGCTCAATAGATTGTGTAAGTAGAATACCCCCAAACTGAAAGTCACCTACATAAAATATAGTGAAAAATATGTCACCCACTTAAACTATAGTTGAAAATATGTACTCATTAGTTTTGTGTAGCCAACACTGGATAATGGGTAAGGGGAAAGGATCCCAGGGCTAGACTGCCTGGGTTCAAGTTCCGATTTCCTGCTGGCTGTGAAATACTTGACAGCGTTCAGCCTCTGTTTCTTTTCTTTTTTTTTTTTTTTTTTTTAGCTTAATCCCAAATATGATAGTAAGTCTCAGTTTCTTGATCTGAAAAACAGAAATTATTCAATGACAGTCTATGTGAAAACTTTAAAGTTTTCAAAGCCACTATCTAGCTTAGGAAAGTCCTCAGCTTTAGGGGTTAAAGTTTTTAAAACCACTGCCTGGTTCAGGAAAGCCCTCAGCTGTAGCCATTATTAGCTATGATTATTATTGTGGTGGCTACACATACATTAATGAGGCAGGAAAATGCTCAAGGATAACAAGCAAGTATCCAGATTATCTCATCAGACCAAGACAGATGCATATGCATGCATGATCATGTTTTAGCTCAGAGCCATTTGTCTAAAAGGCTCTTGAACTCAGAGGCCCAGGAGTATCAACTTTGCTTTGCAGTGGAGCCATCGCTTTTGTTAATCAATGAAATTGACATAATGCTCTTCTTTTTTTTTTCCTTTTTAGCACCAACCATGTGCCTAGAGCTAACTGTGTTAAGAAGAGCATGCTTCAAGTGGCTGGAGTGAGCAATTCAACTTGTGGAGGAATGAGAAGTGACAGTGTTGAGACAAGCAACATAAAACCCCAGGGTAAGGTAGAAATCACTGAAAGTCAGGCAAAGGAACTGGCGTCCAGTAATGAGTCAGGCTTTGCCAGCCTCTGGCCCTACAGATGGCTCTTTGCAGAGGAAAAAATTAAGCCAGGCCCGAGGGCACAGATCCTAAGGGAATGCTGGCAGCTCTAGGCTGTCTATGAGAGTCCAGAGATGCTGCTTCACCCTGGGGCTTTAGGCAAGTCCCTTTCCCTCCCAGAGCCTCAGCATCCCTTCTAGCAAATGACGTTCTGCCTTTCTCCTAGGATGGCTGTGGGGATCAAGGGAGACAGTGGCCATAGGGATACTATGTTAACTGCAGATGCGGCTGTAGGAGCACTTTGCTAACTTCCAGCGTGAGTTCAGACCCTTCAGGCTATTTGGCACCCAGATCTATGGTGAGGTGTGACATATGGGATGTAAAGTTTGATGCCTGCTCCGACTCCAGTCTTGCTAACACACACGAAACCTTTGGTAAATCATGACCCTGCCTTGGGGAAAAGGGCAGTCTGGGAGAGCTTCTTCAAGGCAGCCTGGCTTCAATGCAGTCTGGGGCATGACTGAGGTAGGCATACATGGTGAGGAACTGGAGGGTAACTGGGTAAAGAGCTGCAGTGTGGGCAGAGGTGTAGTGTGGGTCACATCGCGGATAGCCACTGGCCAAAGCAGGGAACAGAGACAGAATGAGGAAGAGCTCTGTGGGGAGGGTGGGGCACAGGGTGGAGAACCTTCAAAGTCCAAAGAGTATGACTTGTTGGGATTCAACGCTGTAGGCAGTAGGGAGCCATGGAAGGCTCTGAGGTGGAGAAATGACAGCCGGACATTAGTGAGCAAGCCCTGTCTCCGTGAGCAGCATGGGTGGTCCTCTGAGCACGCCAGGCACGAGTGTGCAGGGAGCTGGTGCAAATGCCTCTGTGTGCGGGTGAGCATCTGTGTTGTGACTCTGCCCACCCATGTGCTTCAGTGTGCCGTGTGGCTGCACGCCCCAGATCCATGTGGCACGTGCCGGCCGGTGAGGGTGCTGGGCATTGGGAGGTGGCGGGGAGGGCGACGTATGCGTGTTGTTTGTGGGCATGTGTGTTAGCGTGTGCATGTGGGCCGTGGGGCCTCACAGCATGTGTGTGCACACTCCGGCATGTGCGTGTGTGTGTCCCCCACCCCCAGGCCTGCCCCACCCATGCATGTGACCTGCCATGTGATTTGAAGCTGTCTTTCAGAATCACTATCAGTGGCCCCTGAGGAGCGTCAGCCATGGTAGGTACATGCCTCACTGCCTGCTGCATGAATGGTCTGCCTGCCCCGCTGCCCCAGCTCCACACAGGGGGCATACCTGGAGCCTCAGAGCCAGGCTCCCTGCCCCTCCCTTCTGGAGCTGCAGACTTGCTCTTTCCTCTTTCTGTCCTTGTGCTGCTGGCTGTCTCACTTTGCTCCCTGTGAGCCACGGGACTCAGTGCCACTGCTGAAGGTCTCCATGGCTGAGCCTGGGGGCTCTTACAACAGGCTCCATGCCCAAGGTGGCAGATGTGGAACCATCAGAGAGGGCACAGAGCTCATGGTTTATGGTGTAGGGGCTGGGAGCTTGGAGGGGGTTGTGTGGGGGGCTGGACTCAGGCGGCCAGAGGCCTGGGCACATCATCCTGGGCACGCCGTACCTGTCATGCAGTCTGAGTCATGCTGCCAGGGCAGGTATCCAGCTCCCAGCCTGGGAGTGCCAAGAGCCAAATCCACTGCAGATTAGGGGTGATAGTCACGGTCCCACGTCCTCTATCTGTCAGCAATCCAGTGGTGATCTAGGATAAAAGCCTGAGAGTCCTATACACGCGGTCATCCCACAACACACTTCATAGGCCATGGAAGGACACACAGCCCCCTTCCCTCCCTCCCAGGTACCATGATAGCTGCTAGCGTGCGACTGAAGGCAGGGTCCCTGGCCCCTGCTGAAGCACTACTGCTGGCCAGCAGGCTCACGCACCTTGGCCTGTTGCTTCTAGGGGTCGCCTGTGATATTCAGCCAATAGTGCTGCTGGCCCAGCTGAGCTCCACCTAGAGAGCTCACTTCCCTTTCCTGCCGCGGAGTCTCCCTCTTCTGCTTTTCCCAGCAGGAAGGGCCCAGCCTCACCTATGTAACCTGCAGCCCCCCGCCAACCAGTTGAGGCTGCCCTGTTAGACTTAGAAGTCTATGGCCAATGGCATCTGGCTACCTGCCCTCCCTGCCTTCCCCAGGGTCCCTCAGAGGACCCTGGGCTTTCTGATGGCCCAGAGGGGCCTCTGGCATTCACTCCAGCCAGCCATCCCGTATAGCTCCACCATTTTGGTTCAATCAGTGTTCCTTCTCTATCAGGTCTGGTGGCTGTTGGATGGGGCTCTCCAAGCAAGAGGTGGCCCTGGGCCGTGAGTTGGAAGACAGGGTGACCAGAGAGGAGAGAAGCCCGAGGGGGCTGAGCATTCATCTGAACTATGGGTGGACTGCCTGGGTGCCATGAAAGAGGCCAGCGTGTGTGGGGTGGGGAGGGCCGCCGCAGTCCCCAGGCACTACCTATGAAGCTCCGGCTTCTCCCTCCATCTTCCTCCCCTTTCCCTTCCAGCCCCTCTTTTCCAGGAACCTTGCCATGCCCACACCTACGCCCTCCCCTCCCCGGCCCTCCACAGCTGCTGCAGCGCACCCATACTCTGCACTTGCCTCACCAGCTCTGGCTTTTCTCTAACCCGTTTTCTCTCTGCTTTCTCTCCAACTGCCAGCTGATTGGGTCAGGCAAGTCCATCCCATCCAGGGAGCCCCAGGCCCCACTTCGACCTCTAAACAGATTCCTCCTCTTCTCAGAGACCTCCCTTTCCAAGCCTGCCTGGGTGGGTGTCCTGTGACTTGACAGTGGCTCCCCCAGCCCCAAAGCCAGCCCCCTTCTTCTGTGACTTAGTCTGTTGTAGTGGTGAGCTGACACGTCCAGGTTTGACCGTTGCTGAAACTTGTGCCCCCTCTGTGGTATGCCCCTGCCCTGTTCTATAAATAGCTATAAATTCTCTCTCACACACACACACACACACACACATATATACATATATATACGTGGCCAACTGCCTCGCCTCTAGCACTGGGAATCAGTCCCCGTGCTGTGCTTGTGGAGTCTTATAGCCCAGCAAGAGGAAGCTGTCTCCTGACATCGCCCCTCCAAAGTGCACCACCTCCAGTGAGCTTCCGGGACATGCACGGCCTGTGGACAGCCAGCCCCCGCCATCCCTCCCGCCCTTCTGGCCAAGCATGGCGGTGCTGTGCAGGCAGCTGTGTGGCCTGACAGTCTCTACCAGTCCTGCTGTCCCTCGGCTGAGAAACCCATTTCTGGATGACAGAGAATGTGTCCTCTGCTGGCTGTGTTCTCTATGGAGCTCAGGGGAGGGAAAAGGCCAAGCCATTTTTAGGGTGCTGTTGGGAGCAGTGAAAAGGTCACACCCTTTTCAAGGGACACTTTTCCTGGAAAGTCCCTGGAGCTTAGCTGGCTCTTACCCTGTGAAGCCGGCTCTGGCCACTAGGGGACAGGGCCCTGAACTCAGCCTGGAGGGAACCTGCGGGGCAGCCGGCACTCTGGAGGGACAGACAGGCCACCCGGTGCAGACAGGAGAGGGAGGCAGGGGGACAGAACGGAAGACACCTGGGGTGGATGGAAGTCAGTGCCCTTGGGCACTGGTATCTGTCTTCCCTGCCACAGCTAGATCAGGCTTCTCAACCAGTTGGCTGTCAGGGCCAGAGTGTACTCCGTAGGCGCCATGGCAGTCCCCATGAAATCCACCAGGTGTCACCAGGCAGCATACAGGTAACAGGCCTGGAAGGTCCCCAACAGCCCAGCTGGACATGCTGAGACACTCTGGGGCTCCTCATTCAGTGGGACAAACTGCAGGACCCAGTGAGGGAAATGGGAACATACCAGGCCGAGCAGTATGGCTAAATCCATTTATTCCAAAATCAAAAGCAAAAAACAAAAAACAAAAAACAGGAGTCCCATCACCAGGCAGCCATGACCCCATCCCCGCCTGCTTCCTCACTCCTATGCTAGCAATAAATAAGTTTCCCAGCCGCGAATAATTATAAGAACCTCTTCCTCATATGCCAGCTGCAACCTCCGCTAGGTACGATACAGAATGTTACACAGCTACAGTATGTACACGGGGGAAGGGGGGCCACCCCCAGCAGCCTGTGCCCTGGCCTGGTCTACAGTTAACTCCACTGTCCCGCCTCAGCTGCCTCTCTGAGTAAGAAGATGGGAGCCCCCCTGAGGGAAAAGTTGCTTTGGTGAGAGTAAGAAGGCCGTCAGACCTCCTCCAAACAAACCAACTCCACCAACCTCTGGCTCTTAAATAACAAACATCATCATCCAGAAATGTAAGGACTCAGCCTTGGTCAAGGTGGTAAAGGGTCTGTTTGTCTCCCTCCATTAGACAGGGGTCTTGTCTTGCTACCCTAATGGTAAAGGGCTGACTGGGGAGGGGTTGTAGGGACATGGTGGGGGTGAAGACTCCAGACCCACTTCTCCAGGCTTATGCTGACAGGGGCCTGCTTTTATTTATTTTTATTTTTATCCCATGACTTTTTTTAAATCCTGTAACTAATTTTTCATAACTTTTTAAAATAACTTTTCATAAAACTTTTTTTTTACTTTTTTTCCACAACTTTTTTTTGCCACTTTTCCACAGTATTTTTTTATCCTGTAACTTTTTCATCCCACAACTTTAATTCCTGTTAACTTTTTTAGTTTGTGTTCTTTTAATAAACACACTTACATAGTTACAATTTTGTAAGAATAAAAACCGATTACCTCATGCCAAGCATGCCGAGAATTTGCAGAGTCTCAATACCCAATACTATAGTTTTCAAGACACACAAAATTTTTAGGCAAAACAGCACCTTGAAACAATTTAATAATGTATTACATTACAGTAGCATCACAGCAGCAGTCAATAATGCCACTTTAGACAAAAATCAGTATTTCCATTATGCATTCTGTGTATAAGAATTCATAAATCGGTAAAAGTCATTCTAAGAAAACTTGGCAAATACAGCTTTGGACTGGAATTGGCATTTCTTTGTCTACTTTTCCTTCCCCTAGATTCTTTGTTTTAAACTACAGTATTCATATTTTAAAATGTTTTAAATTATTTTAAGACGTTAATATAGCAGTTACATTTTTGAATAGTTATTTGAAAGTGACTGTAAGATAAAGTTTTAGAGAATCTATTATGGATAGGGTTGATTTACATTTTCACATTTTCTAAAAATCAGCTTTGGTTTTAGAACTGATTGTTTTTCATTTTGGGAAAACCTACCAGGTTTAATCAATTACTTTAAAAATAATTATCATATTTTGCAGTCTTTAAATAGGTGTTTTGATTCTTTACTCCCTACAGAAATTCAAATTTATTCAGTTGAAGTCACATTTTAAAATTCTATGTTCCTGCTGAACTCTAACCTTCTAATGTTGCCTTCTAAGCAAATTAAAGGCTGCCTTATACTGAATGAGGTAGAGAACAAATACTTGGCTGAATGAGGTACTGCAAAAGACTGCATGCACTTTGAAGAAAGACTTGAGTTATTGTCATAGGATTTCCATTCTCTTTAGCTTTTTCTTAAACATATGACAAAATACCTACACAAAGAGTCGTATTTGAATTAATATAGTATATTTATTTTTCAGACTGACATTCATCTTAAATATGCCAGTATGTGATTTAATCCACAGGTACCTGATGAACACATTATTGTCAGATTGGTTACAGTTGCTAAACGCTATCTGAAGGTCATTCCTATTCATTTATACGTGTCAGGGTAAAAGTGAAGCGATTTGAACTATAAAAATACCTTTGAAATAATTTATCAATGTATTAGATAAGCTCAGTTTCAGAATGATAAACAAAAACTGTTAGACCAAATAACGTGGCTAATTAACAGTGGTACGATTTCTAGCCCGAGGGTTTAAAATGGAGTTAAAGTAAGTGTCTTTAAACTGAACTCAAAGAATGCAAAAGCGGCAAGTTCAGAAAAGGCAAGAACAGGACCTTTAGTCCATTTTAAGCCATAAATATTACACAAAATATGCCTCTAACTGAAACTGAGAGGTATAAAAACATATTTCACTCTTCGTAAAGAACTTTGTGAGGAAATATAACTCTGTGATTGTATAGACACTTTCCTCATGACACTTTGACAGTCACAAACAGTAGATTGCGCTGCAGTTTGTAAACATTTTACGTTGCATAAACTGCTCCTTGATTTTCAAATGTAGTATAATACTGTCTACTAAAACTCCTTTTTGTTTCAACTAAGTACTCTCACATATATTAGTTTATAATAATGTTTGTTATTATTTTTAAAGTGTTCTCCATTCAAGGAAAAGAAGTAAATTCCTATGTCAGATGGTTGAAGACTAGCTATTAGCCAGAGAGGTCTAGATGGTAAAATCCATCTTCTAGCCTCAAATAAGCTCCATGAACACAGAGGAATGCCAGGTGTCACACAGCTTTCCTTCACTCGAATTCATTCTTGACTAGAGCCTGTATATGCCTGTTCCAGGGGCATTTAAACTCTTAAAGGATTTCTTCTGATCTTTACTAAATACATTAAGGAGAACGCCAACCAGTGCCCTTTTGTGTACTGGGACATGTAGTCATGTGATTAAAACAGGGAACATGAACTCTGACTTTAAAATGTATTGTAGATATAAATGCTCTCAGCTAGAAAAGGTTTTCCACATCCACAGTCATGATGGGAGCCTTTCATTCCTCAGAAATAATCCCTTTTCAGGTCATCAAAAAAGAGTACAACTGCCACAGCTCATGAGGCAGTATCTTCATGAGCCCAGAGCACATACAAATCCTAAGGGAACTACCGTAGTACAGCGCTCATTCTTGGCACCGGAACAAATGAAACATATTCTATCCTGCACACACCTGCCAAAGCAGGCCACTTTCCTCTTCTGGGAGATTTAAAAACCTCCCCAAAATGTTATTACTCCCATCCCCAATACACAGAAAAAGGGGGAAAGGCTGTTTCCAGTGCTCCACCTTTAAACAACTGTAAATGTCAGTACTCACAGTGGCATATTACAAAGTAATAGACCGCGCACTTGAGGGCAAACTGCATATTGAGCTAATGAAGAGCTCACTGTGATTAGGATTCGATCAAACATAACAGCAGAACATAAGGAAATTTTATCTGAATTCCGTAATGAATATACAGGCTGTACTAACATTAAAAAAGCATGGCAGCCTATCCCAAACCAGCAAGAACAGTTGTGTGCATACAGTGGGTCTTTGTGTGTTTGAACTCCCACCACATAAGGGCAAACTCGATATGCATGCTAACGTCCTATAATTATCAAATTAAAAAAATGCTAAAAGATGCCAGAGTGAACATGAGAGAAACACCCACTCTCATTTAACTTTTTACAAATAAATTTAAATTATAAATTAGAAACACAAATAAATTTAAACTATAAATTAGAAACACAAATAAATTTAAACTATAAATTAGAAACACAAATAAATTTAAACTATAAATTAGAAACACAAATAAACATAAGTGGCTCTAACATTCAAATGAAGTAAATGAATTGTGTAGGATATTAACCCCTTAAATGTTTTGTTTTTTTTTTTCAATTCCTTGACCCGCTCTTAGATGATGGTGATGTTTAGCTCCCTGTTCTCCGCAGCCCGAAAAGAATGGCATGCAGCCTCTCCTGCTCCTCCTGCCGCCTCTCCTGTACCAACAGCTTCTCCACTCAAGCCTGGGTGCTCCTGGGGAGTCCTGCATTAGAGGAAGCAGCTGCTGGATCTGCTGTGCAGTGGGGTTGTCATGGGGGAGAACCCTCCCTGTCCTCTCCCGGTGCAGCCTCCATGCTATCAGTGAGGCTCAGCCCACTAAGATCTTCAGAGAGAGGGAGGGGGGTGGGAATCTGGGCACAGTGCGAGCCTCCCCTGCTCCTGCCTGCCCACCCCGCCTGAGGGCTCTACTCACCACCCTGCTTGTCCGCACATCCAAGCTCCTTGTGGGACTGGGGCTCCAGCTACTGGTCTGGCTGCTGCTGCAGACTCGGAGCCTCTTGGCTCTTCAGCTCCACCTGCCGGAAGACCCTGGGCATGAGGACATGTGGTGGCTGGCTTCCAGATTCCTGGCCCATTAATAGGGTAGCGAGGACACTGTGGGGCTCTGTGGCCTGCCCAGGCCCCTGGCCCCTTGCTCCAGGCCTAAGAGACTGTCTCCCTTGCCTAGAACCCCATGCCTCCTTCCCTAGCATCAAATCTCACGTCCTTTTTCCCAGCATTTAAACTGTAGGCCACAGACTGGTGGAAAAGCAGGCGGAGCCAACCACCATCTGCTAAGTGTGCTACATGCCTAATGTTTCCACGTATTATCTCATTTAATCCTCAGCACCTCTGCAAGGAAAAGGCTAACTTCCTTTTGAAGTTAAAGAAACAGAGACTTAGAGATGCAAAGTAGTTGAATTATGACCAGTGGAACCGAGGCCGGAATCCAGTTTGAATCTAAGGAGTCTTTTTTGTTTGTCTGTTTTGTTTTGTTTTGAGAGAGTGTCACTCTGTGTCCCAGGCTGCAGTGCAGTGGTGCAATCTCAGCTCACTGCAACCTTCATCTCCCGGGCTCAAGTGATTCTCGTGTCTCAGCCTCCTGAGTAGCTGGGATTACAGGCATGCACCACCAGGCCCGGCTAATTATTATTTTTTTTTTAATTTTAGTAGAGATGAGCTTTCACCATGTTGGCCATGTTGGTCTCAAACTCCTGACCTCAAGTGATTGTCCTGCCTCAGCCTCCCAAAGTGCTGGGATTGCAGGCGTGAGCCACCACACCCGACATAAGGAGCCTCTTATACCACTGTCTCTTCCTCTGTGATTGGGGGGCTCCATGCCTCTAGCTGGGATGATGATGTCCAGACCTGGGAGGACCCCAGGGCTACCCACCTCTAAAAGTCAGAGGGCAGGAAGCAAGAAACAGTCATAGGACTGCCCCGGAGGGTGCTGGGGTCACCTGTCCCCAGGCTGCAGCTGCCTGTGGCCTGGCACCTCCCCTCCCCAGAGGCTGGTGCCCGCCTCCCACATCTTCTTGGATGGGTCGGAGGTTACAGTCTCTTTCAGCTCACCCGACTTCTTCAGCTCCTTTACTTGCTGCTCCAACTGCAGTGTGCTCTTGTTCTCGTTGTTCTGGACAGAGAGAAGCAATCAGTGGCCACCCACTAAAACTGGAGACCCCAGAACTTAGTGTCTGCCTCCCATGGCACCGGGAAGGGTGGAGGCAGGTTAGAAAAATATCCCCTCTCTCCCACAGCCATCAGAGCGGGGCTCTGGCTCACAGATGCCTTTAGAAGTACCATTTCATGTGAAGGCTACAATGCCCCATTTTACAGGTGGGGAAACAAAGGCCTTGAGGGCTAGGGAAGAGGGCAGCCTCCCCAGGTGGGGCAACGCACCAGCTCCTCGAAGCCGCTGCGTGGCTCGGCCCGCTGCTCGTACAGGGCTTCCCACCCCAGCTCCAGCATCCTCTCCAGCTCCCGCAGCCTCTCCAGCTCCCGCAGCCTCTCCAGCTCCTGCAGAGTCTACTGCTGCCACAGCCTCTCATCCTGTTGCCGAAGCCTCTCCTGCTCCAGGAGCTCCTCCACCTCGTCCAGGAGCTCCTCCACCTCGTCCAGCAGCCTCTCCCTCTCCAGCAGCCTCTCCTGCTCCTCCTGCCGCCTCTCCTGTTCTAACAGCTTCTCCACCTCTTCCAGCAGCCTCTCCCTCTCCAGCAGCCTCTCCTGCTCCTCCTGCTGCCTCTCCTGTTCTAACAGCTTCTCCACCTCTTCCAGCAGCCTCTCCCTCTCCAGCAGCCTCTCCTGCTCCTCCTGCCGCCTCTCCTGTTCTAACAGCTTCTCCACCTCTTCCAGCAGCCTCTCCTGCCCTGGCAGCTTCTCCTGTTCACACAGCCTCTCCTCCTGTTCACGTAGCCTCTCCTCCTGCTCTCCTCATGTTCACGTAGCCTCTCCTCCTGTTCACACAGCCTCTCCTCCTGTTCACACAGCCTCTCCTCCTGTTCACGTAGCCTCTCCTCCTGTTCATGTAGCCTATCCTCCTGTTCACGTTGCCTCTCCTCCTGTTCACGTAGCCTCTCCTCCTGTTCACGTAGCCTCTCCTCCTGTCTCCTGTTCAGGAGACTCAACATCTGATTGTTTTCCACCTCAGCCTGGAGCTGTCTTCCCACACTCTCTAGCTCCTTCCTTAGGTGGTTGGTCTCATCTTGTAGCTGCTCTACCTTAGATGGCCCTGCTGGGGGCTCTGGGGCCAGGGGTTCAGCTGAGAAAGGAAGCAGACAATAAGGGCCTCTGGATTCTCAAAAAAAAAAAAAAAATCCTCCCTTCGGTGCACAGCTCCTCCTCTCAGGCTTCCCAAACTTGGCCTCACTGCTAATGACTCCTCACACCCGGATGGTAGCCAGTCTTCCAAGTCACTTTCAGATAGAGAGCACTGTGGGTGGCTGACAATGGGCACTCCTCCCTCTTTACTGATGGGGACACTGAGGCTCATGGAGATGACAAGACTTGTCCTCCCCTGGCACAGACCTCTTTCCCTCTGCCTCAAAGCCCTTCCATCCACCCACCTCCCTGGGGCATTCTAAGTCACCCCCACAGCCCTCTAATGCCAGTCCAGCTGCCAGGTCATGCCAGCCCCATCTTACCCGTCTGGTTTTTGAGTTTGAACAAGCTCCTCCCAAGCTTCTGTACCAGATGTATCTCATGCTTCTTCTCCTCCTTAGATGTGCGAACCTGCCCAAAGCAAAGGGGGAAAAGGGCCCTGGAGGGAGGGGCTGGTGAACCTCCAGAGACAGAGTTTGAGAAGGGCCCACCCCCCTTCTGCCAGTTTGTGATTTAGAAACGTGCATTCATTCAACAAACATTTACTGAGCATGTACAGGCCAGGTACAGTTCTTCATAGCAGAGATATAAAACAGCAAAGGACAGACAGGAGCCCTTGGCCCTGAGGTTTCCATTCTAGGGGCCTTTAAATCTCTGACTTTCAGAGCTAACCGAGACCTTTGATACTCTCTACCTCCTCCAGAAACACGAGCATAAAGAGGAGAGATGGCTTGTCCAGACTCAAAAAGCAAATTAGGGACTGAGGCAGGGCAGAAATATGGACCCCTGACAACCAGTCAGGCTAGTGCTTCCCAGAGAGGTGACAACCCCAGGGCATGTGTGGCAAGGACTAGAGCAGGGGTGTCTGGAGAAGAGAGAGTCAGCAAAGAGGGCAGTGCAGAAGACCCATGCTGCATGTTCTGTGCTCTGGGGTCCCTCCAGGTGAGACCTGGGTGCCCAGCTCCCCATTTGCCCTTGGCATCAGGGGCCCCTAGCTCCTTTCTTCAGGGCCCCAAGAGGAAACTGGAGTCCAGGATTGACCAGCTGTAATCAGGGGACCCCACTGGACTCTTACCAGTGAATTGATGTTTTCAGTGAGTTGACTGATTATTGCGGAGCTTGAATCCAGGGCCACTGCTAGTTCTTGGTACTGGCTCTGAGGTGCATGCAGAGAGAAGGAGTTGGAGGAAGATTGTGGGGAGGGGTAGAGAGAATAATCATTAGGGCTGGTGGGGGTGTGTGGGCTGCCTCAGCTGGCAGAGGGGCAACAAGCCCCTGCTGTGGGAGGAGGTTGGAGGGCTGGCCTGCAGGGTCACTGCACCTCGGCCCAGGGCCTCTTACCTCCAGATCCTCCAGGGTAGTAGAGGATGCACGGCCCTCCCCGTAGATACCTGTTGCTGACTGCAAGAGATGAGAGTGCACATGGAGATGTTCTGTCCCCCCTCACTGTCTAAGCCCTCTGACTTCCTTTCTTCCCCCATCAACTGGCAAAAGCTTCTTTTCTGCCTATCTTGGACCCTTTTTCCCATAACTCCTTTGTGCCAACTTCTCTCGTGGTTCTTATCTCCCCACCATCCCACCCTGGGGCCCTTTCAGTGACTCCTAAAGGGACAGCCTGATGGCAAGTGGCTCTTCTCATTGGCCTGGCTTCCCCTTGAGACTGGGGATGAGGAAAATCAAACAGCAACGACCATTTCCTCGGTGTCCTGGGTGTTTGCAGCAGGCCATGTACTAAGGATTCACATAAAAGCAACAATAACGAATCTCATTTAAACTTCACAAATGGAAGTCAAAAAATACCACCTCTATTATACAGATGTGAAAAGAGAGGCCCAAAGACCTCAAGCAACTTGCCCTAAATCATATGCTAATCAATCCCTAATCAATTCTTAGCAGATGGAGAGGCAGGATTCAAATCCAGAATTCTTAACCAGTACCCAACAGTCCATCTACAATCTTAACAATTACCCTCTACTGCCCCTTGGGCCCCCTGTCCCCAGGACCCTGGCCCGCCGAGACTCACATCCCCAGGTGAGTGGTAACCACCAGAAGTGGCTGTGTCAGGGCTACTGCCATTGATTTTCTTTTTCCTGTTAGCTCCTGCTGGAATGCCAGGGCTCTTCCTCTGCCAATATGCTTTTAACTGTGGGAAAGAAGAGCGGTAACACTCATGAGAATGATCAGCCCCTACAGCCACATCCTCCTTTACAGTTTTGACAAAATACCCTTATATACCATCTGATGTAATGCCACCAACAACTGTACAAGGTGTTGTCACAATCACTTAGTGACTGAGAGGGATTGATATCATGGATAGAAAAAAAAAAAAAAGAAAGATCAAAAAAGGCAATACTGGAACTTAAACTCAGTCCTCTGACTCCAAGCTCTGGGGTTTTGCCATGAATCAGCAGCTTCCAGGGACCAAAACCAGGGGCAGAGGTAGAAAAGTAAACATTAAGCAGGCAGGAACTGTAGGCCGTGTGGTTTAGAGTCATACATCCTCACAGGTCTGCTAGCGTGAAGAAGCGTGCCAGTACCTCTCACACTTTCATATCAATGTGTCCTCATGGCAGAAGGCAGCTTTTCTATTAAATCTGGGAATTTATCAGAAAGAGGACAACCCAAGCCTCATTTCAGAGCGAAGTCTGGTATACGCTTGGAAACCTATGTGTCTGTCATCCCTAAGTACATTAATGCATTTTCTCAAGAGAATCAAGGGGAAATGATGCTTCAGAAAGATGTCCCACATTTATCCTGTGGCACTCAAAGTACCCCAGGTTGAGACGATATGAGGAAGATTCAAGCTGTCAAGTTCAGTTTCCCAAGATCTATTCCACAGAAGATGAGCAAATCTCACTTCAGAGGCCACTGACTGAAGGGCAGTCTGGTCCCAGAACCGTGGAGAACTCAGAAAAAAATGTTAAAGTCTCTCTGGAAAGTAGAAGCCTGGGAAAAAACCAAACCAAACCCATTCTCCCATTGCCACCCAGAGATACTGTGAACATTTTGAGCTCACAGGGGAAGTGTAGGCTTTTCCCACTGTCAATGTCTATGTTAAGGGAGTAAGGCAGCCTGAAACCTCTTGCTCCTAGGTCCCATAGTCTCCACTCCCCTTCCAGCTGGAAATTTGTGCTGCAACCAGAGGAACCAGAAATGGGGTGAGAAAACTTAGGGGACTGGGTTGTAAGATCAAAGGCCGGTCTTGCAGCAGTAATGACAGTTCCTAGGGGCACTGTGACATCATTGCATTCCACTCCTCCCAGGGGAGGGGACCACATCAGCGCGATGCCCGAGTCGCTGCTCCACGATGGGGGAGGGAAACACACGGTTTCGACCCAGGTCCTCAGAGACGCCAGCCCAAGAAGCCTAGGGAGGTCGAGCTTGGGGCAGCAGGAGGGGAGGGCAGAGTCTGCAGTAGGGAGCCCCGGGAGTCACCAGCCCAAAGCCACCCAGGGATGACTGGTGAGGGCAGGGCCTGGGGCTGGGGGACCCAGGTCCTGGGAGACGCAAGCCCAAAGAGCCCAGGGAGGTTGGGCTTGGGGTGGCAGGAGGTGAGAGCTGATTATGGAGCAGGGAGCCCCAGGAGTCACCTGCCCAAAGTCACCCTGGGGTGATTGGCAAGGGCAGGGACTGGGCTGCTTGCTGAAGGGGTGGGGCTGACTGACTAGGCTTTGGTTGGGGGAGCCCAGAGGGGCTGGGGTTGGGGGGCCCCATCTGGTATGCCTCAGGAGTGGTATGGACTCTGGCACAGGTCTTGTCATCGGAGGGGATCTGTGGCTGGGTTGGGGGCCATGACCTGGTGTGTTTTACCTTTTTCTTGGCTGCGGCCAATTTCCCCTGTTGTGTTTTTTCTGACATCGCGGGGTGGGGAGGGAGGCGGGGTTGGGGCCACATCAGCGAAATACCAGTGAGCACTGCTCAATGCCTCCAGTCACCTACCAGGCAGCTGTGCAACTGAGCCACAGGTGGCGTAACCAGGGCACCAATGGAACGCAGAATAGGGGCGTGGCCTTAATGCTCCAAGCCCATTGGTCAGTGAGAAAGATGAAAGGGAAAGGAGGCGTGGCCAGGCAGCAGCATGTCCAGAGGGACCTGTGGCATCATAAGGAAAGCTGCCCATGCAACCGCTGTCCCCGCCCACTCAGAGAAAGGGGAGGGGCCGCCCACTCTGGGAGAGGGGAAGGGCTGGGTTTTGCTTTAAAACTTTTAAAACTGTAAAAAATAAACTTTAAAAAATATATGTGTATATACTTTATATATATGTGTGTCTGTGTGTGTGTATCTATGTGTTCCTCCAGAGCTGTCTTCATTATGCAGCTTCTGTGCAAAGTCTGTGATTTTGGCCTATATTTTTCATCTTCAAATGGAGTACAAGAATTACCAGTATTACCTTAACTGAGATATAGATCCTATAAAAATGGAAAATCCATAGCATGCTTGATGATTAATGAAGCCGACTATAGTATCCGACATTCCAATAAGACAAAATAATCACAACAATTTCTCTTTTTTGGAAAAATGTTTGTCTTATTCTCCTACATTATTGTTAAGATTTCTTTTAAAAACAAGAAACATGTCTAATATCTTTAAAAACACAAAGCTTTTGGGCCGGGTGCAGTGGCTCACGCCTGTAATGCCATCACTTTGGGAGGCCGAGGTGGGTGGATTGCCTGAGGTCAGGAGTTCGAGACCAGCCTGGCCAACATGATGAAACCCTGTCTCTACTAAAAATACAAAAACTAGCCAGGCGTGGTTGCGGGTGCCTGTAATCCCAGCTATTTGGGAGGCTGAGGCAGGAGAATCACTTGAACCCAGGAGATGGAGGTTGCAGTGAGCCAAGCTCACGCCACTGCACTCCAGCCTGGGCGACAGAGCAAGACTCCATCTCAAAAGAAATAAAATAAAATACAAAATAAGTAAGAACACAAAGCTTTCAATTTAATAACCACTTAAAGCTCTTTACTGGTTTAAGAGAATTACAAGGCCCATTTTTCTAGAATCACCTGGCCTCTCTAAGCCTTGCAAATGAAGCTGAATTTCTCACTTGATACTTGGCTCTCACTTGCAGTCATGAAAACCAAGAATTTGTTATGTCACTGTGTATTGCTTGTTACCTGAAATCCACACTAGGCTGGGATCAAGGGTTGAATCTTTCATGATTTTCTCCATAACCTGTGTGCTTCTTATCCCACACCAAACTAAGCTTTTTTTCTAGAGCTCTGCAACTTACAGTTAGTATATGAGAGCAGTTCTCAAAAATGTAGTCTCTGGACTAGCAGCTCCAGCAGCACCTGGGAACTTCTTATAAATACACATCCTCCGGCCCCACCCTGGACCTGATGAATCAGAAACTCTGGAGTAGGGCTCAGCAATCTGTGCTGCAGTAATCCCTCCAGGTGTTCAAGAACCTCTGGCATACAGCAGGTAGAAAAATGTGTTTCCTTCTGTAGGTCCAAAACCAGGGATACTATATGTTTTCTCTATATGAAACAATGACGTGCAATTAAAAGACATAAATCTCCTTCCTGCTCCCACCTTCCAGCCAATGTGTTTTATTTTTATGAGTTAAATAAGAAAACAATCAGAGATTTCGTCTAAATCGCATATTTACAGGTATCAGTTCTCATCCAGCCTGATCTTATCCAATATCATTTATATTCTCTTACATGTGAAGTTTTAGAGAAGGATCTTCACAATGTAAGACTCAGGCACACTAGCAGTTCTGTAATAAAACACCAAGTAGATCAGAATGTCCAAACTTACTGGAGAAGAAAAGTGGAATCATTGGCTATATTTTCAAATTGCAATAAACAGGATATTAAAGTTTTGAATTTTTTTCACCTTCATCCTTCCACGTTAATAGAATTAAGCCAAAATACTTGTCTTCCAAAGCCTCTAGCCAGGCAAAATTTTACTATATTACTTCTTGCTTTTCAATGGCTATAAAGCAGACTCCTGGTAGGCACATTTGGTATACCTGCAAAGATGAAGAACTAAACAGTTCCATCTGTTCAATACTGAAACAAAAGTCCTGCAAACCTCGGATGGTGAGTGTAATACTTCAGCACTAGCACCAAAGCCTCAAATATGAAAAGATACCAAGAACACCACTAGCAAACAAAACTAAACTCTCGGCTGGGAGCTCTAGTTCATGCCGTAATCCCAGCACTTTGGCAAGCAAAGGTGGGAGGATTACTTGAAGCCAGGAATTCAAGACCAGCCTTGGCAGCATAGTGAATTCACACCTCTACAGAAAGTTTTTAAAATTAGCTGGGTGTGGCAGCACACTTCCTGGGGCAGATGTGCCATTGCTGGAAACTTCTCTATGGAGAGTACCAAGTACTTCTACCTGTAGCATTTTCCCTGGCTGGAATCCTGCAATTATCACAGTAGCCCGAGATCCAAGAAGGCAGAGCAGGAGCATCCTGTCCCCTCCCCAGCAGGTGCAAGGGAGGCTGGGGGGTGAGGCACAAGCCCGTGGGAGGGTGAGGAGCAGGAGGGATGCATGGTGAGCCTCTGTTGACTGCTTGCTGCCTCAGCTGGAAGGTCAGGACCAAATGTCTATTACAGGTTAAATTACAGAAGTATTTCAGATTTTGGATTTTTTTCAGATTTTGGAATTCGAAAATCTGAAATCCAAAATGCTCCAATGAGCATTTCCTTTGAATCTGGCCTTCGAACATCATGTCGGCACTCAAACAGTTTTGGATTTTGAAGCATTTCAGATTTTGGATTTTCGGATGAGGGATGCTGTATTATCTTCTGAATGAGGCCACTCATTCAGGAAAGCCCAGAGCTTGGGGACGTGGAGCTGCAGACCAAAGAGGTGATTTCTGTAGTGGCTTTCAGTGCGGAAGGGCCTACAAAGTGGTTTAAAGCAAGCCACAAAATAGGAAACCCAATATTTAGCTAATGGAACTCTGATAAAACCTGCTCAAGATGTCTGTCTCTACTAATTCAGATGGAGCCAAGCCAAAGCATCATTATTATTTTAAAAAGGCACCAATCCCTCTGCAAAAGCACTGAATTATATCATGATACAATCATCAATTGTACCATGAATCACCATCAGCGGTGGTCTTTTAGGGATATGAAGAAGGGGTTTTCACAATACATCGCATGACACACCATCTTCCAAATCTCTAAACATTTCTCTCCACAGCCCAGTCCTCTCCATAGTTGTCCAAATCCCTCCCTCTTTTCTCTTGTTGTCTCCAAAACTCAAAACCATGCTCTGACTTTCTATATCCTGCCCTCCCCTTCTTGGACCATCTGGGAAGCCCCCTGCTTCCCCAGGGTGTCCCCTCCTCCCCTTCTGGGATCAGTCATCTTTCCTCAAATGGACCAGTTCGGCCTCTCTTAGTTTCTCCAACTCTGCATCTCAACCTTTCTCCCTTCACTACACAATAATGTCCAGGAGGCAAAGAGCCCACAAACCTGGGAACCTCCCTTTCCAGAAGGGAGGTTCTGGAATGACTACAAATATTTGGTTATGATTTTCTTCCCTGCCACGCCTGTTTTCATGGGCAGTGCTGAGCCCCGGTCCTGGCAGAGCTCAGAACCAGGCTCTCATGAGCTGGGGCAAGTGGGGCCTAGGGAACCTCTGGGTTGAGGACCTTGCACCCCACTCTGCAGCTGCCCTGCTGATTTGGCTCATGCAACCTCTCCTCCTGGGCTCAAGTGATCCTTCTACATCGGTCTCCCAAGTAGCTGGGATTTGGGCTACCACGTTTGGCTAATTTTTGTATCTTTTAGTACAGATGGGGTTTCACCTGTAGCCCAGGCTGGTCTCGAACTCCTGGGCTCTAGTGATCTACCCTCCTCAGCCTCCCAAAGTGCTGGGATTACAGGTGTGAGCCACTGCGCCCGGCCTTGTGCCAGCTTTTAAATATCAACAAGGACAAATTAGAGAACAGTGGAAGAGGGTGAGCAGCATGATGAGGTGATACAGAAATAATTTCACATGAAGAACTGGGCATGCCTGGCTTTTTTTTTTTTTTAAGCTATTCTGGGTTGGATGCTGAGGCTCACACCTGTAAGCCTGTAATCCCAGCACTTTGGGAGGCCGAGGTGGGTGGATCACCTGAAGTCAGGAGTTTGAGACCAGCCTGGCCAACATGGTGAAACCCTGTCTCTACTAAAAATACAAAAAATTAGCTGGAATTGGTGGCATGTGCCTGTAATTCCAGCTACTCGGGCAGCTGAGGCAGGAGAATCGCTTGAACCTGGGAGGCGGAGGTTGCAGTGAGCTGATATCGTGCCATTGCACTCCAGCCTGGGCAACAAGAGTGAAACTCTGCCTCAAAAAAAAAAAAAAAAAAAAGAAAGAAAGAAAAGAAAATATATCTATGCACCAGAGCTCAACACTAGGTTAGGAGCATTTCTGAGATTTGGAGCTATTCAACCATGGAAGTTCCTGGCACATACATCAGGTATTCACAATACCCTTTCTCAGGTGTTTGGTCACTGCTAGTGAGCCTGCCTGGATCAGTGTTTCCCAAATGGCAGTCATTTGCATCTTTGCATTTTTTTGGGGGGGGGGGTTGTGGGGGTATATACCATACCAGATTTTTTAAAAATTGACATTAAAAATACATGTATAAAATGTGTAAAGTGCACTAATCTAAAGTGCACTGGATGTATTTTTTATTGATGTACATACTTTTGTTATCCATCACCCAGGTCAAAATACAGAATCAGCACCACAGAGGGTTCCCTCCTCCTCCTTCCCAGCCAATAATCTTCTCCTCCTACCTAACCAACTGTTCTTACTTCAATCACTGTCAACTAGTATTTTACATTCTTGAACTGCATATAAAGTGTCTCAAGTTTCACTTAACACTTTTCTTGAAATACACTTGTTTTTTGCCACTTTTTATTTGACCTAAGAAGTAACATTAATGAAACAATGATTTGACGTGATAGGCATTTCCCTCCTAATGAGCACTAAAACACTTAACTATTTGAAAAAAGAAGTTTCTCTGTGTACCAGCTAATATATTCTCCTCGGCCGCCGTTGGTACACGGACCACATTTTGTTTCTCAAAGCAATCCGATGATTTCTGAGGTCCTTTGCAGCTTGAACACGGAACGACTGTGGTGATCGAGTAGCCAAAAGTTCACGGAATGCACTGTCACAATTGTGATTCCGCCATAGCGCCGTGCATCCATCCAACACTTGTTTAATACCTATATTTAATACCTAATACCTTAGACTGTCCTAGGCTGTGGACACAGAAGACTAAACCCCACTTCCTGAGTTGAAGTGGGGGAAATAGAGGAGTAAATCATTTCACGATGTGTGGTTAAATGCTACAGCTCAGGTAACCACGAGCACACAGAGAAAGGGCAGTTTCTAGAAACAGGGCGGAGAGGAGACCGTGAGTGGGCATTTCCCAGAGCAGTCTCTGCCAGCCACCCTGCTGTGATCACTTTGCCACAGAGCAGCCCCGGCGGTCAACCTCAGCCTCCCTTAGCAACCTGAGCGCCCCGCCCAGGTGCCTTACTATTGGTCTCGTGGAGCGGGATGGGCAGCTCTGCCGTGCAATCCCAGCTCGCAGCCCTTGCTCCGCGTGTACTCACGGGAGGACTCGCAGACGTTACTGCCCTCTTGCGTGCCCCGGCCACCCCCGGGCGGCTTGTAGCCGGTGCGCGGGGTGGCTGGGGCTACGTGCAGAGCTGTCGCGGAGCCGGAACAGCAGCGGTGAAGCCCCTCGGCTCGGCCGAGACCGCCGTGCCCATTGCTCGCCTCGGTTGCCGCCGCTTTAGCCGCAGCCGCTGCTGCCGCCGCCGGGGGAGAGGCAGCCTATTGTCTTTCTCCGCGGCGAAGGTGAGGAGCTGTCTCGGCTCGGCCCGCGGGGGAGCCCCGGGAGCCGCACGGTGAGAGCGCAACTTAGTTGGCGGAGTTGGGGGAAGTTTTGTGATTTGAGGAGGGGTCGGGGTGCGGAGCGCGGCCCGTCCCCTGCGGCCGCTCGGTGGGGCGGGCCCCAGAGGAGGGTCGGGGGCTGCGCGGGGCTTCAGGGGCGGGCGGCACGGATGGGTAGCCGGGCGGCGCGGGGACCTCAGCTTTGCGGACCCCTCCTCCCTGCGCATCACCCTTCTCCCGCATTGTCTGCTTGGGGCTCGGCGCGCCTCCCACTCCGCAGCCCAACTTGGGGGCCGTCGCCGCTTTCCGGATGGGGGGCGCGCCCGGCGGCGGATGGCCCCGAACCCTTGCCCCGGGTCCCCGGGTTGGCGCCGCTGGGGCGGACTCACTCCTCCCCTGGGGCGGGCGGCCGCGGTGTGGAGTCCGCGCCGCGAACAAGTGCTGCGGGCGCGAGGGAGCGGTTCCCCGGGGCCGACGCGGACGGTAAACCTGTCCGGCGGCGCCCGCCTGCTGGGGCCTCTCCGCTGTTTCTCGCGGGCGCGGCCCGGCTGAAACTGCGACCGTCGGAGGCGAGCGGCCCTCTGGGACCCGTGCAGCCGGTCCACCTTGCAGCTATACTTTGAGACTAAACATTTTTTTTTTTTTTTTTTGCAAAGGCAAACCGGTATGTGAAGTTGAAAAAAGCAAAAACCCTCAAATTTTCCTTCTTTCTTCTTTTTTTTTTTTTTTTAAATCAAGAAAGGGGGTAGATAGGTTTGTTTTGTTTTGGAAATAGTTTTTATAGCAGAGTGATACCGTCACATTTAATGATCCTACTGTGAATTCAAGAATTCACGATGAAAGTTGGATTGAGCGGTATTTTGGTGTTCATTCTTTGCTGATACTCATTAATGAAGTTCGTTGGAGAATTTATTGCTTCAGTACAGTAAAAACCAGTGTGCCTTTTTTTTTGTTACTACTCCCCCCTCCCCGCATTGTTTTATTTTTCGAAGAAGCACTTTATTCAGTTTTTCTAAGCCACGGGATTGCCCAGATGAGGACCAACGGTGCAGTTCTTGAAAGGTCATTATTGGCAAGTTTGTGAGGGAGCTAAGATGAGTTGAGATAAACCAGTGTTACTGTTCTTGTATTCTGTCGTGGACTCTTGGGGATTTGCAGGCTGCATTAAGTACAAGTCTGGTCCAGTTTTGGGTGCACGTATTCCACTGAATTTGGTTCGTCTGGCTTATTATATGAACATGATTCTGTTTCACTTCCCCAGATGGAACTAGCTTAAATGTCTATCATTTATAGTGACAAATGATCAAAATGGCTAGAGTGTCATTTATTAACTTCAGTTGTAGTCCTTTACCTTACCTTCTGCTAAATGAAAAAGAAAAATTTGACAAATACTGTGTGCGTCAGTTTGCTCTGAGTGATTTCTCGTGCTAAGTGAGTCCTTTGGAGAAGCGTTCCTGGGCTTTTCTGGTTTGGTGGGCCTTGTGTTATAAAACCAATTTTCTTCACCTGATGAAGCTAAAGACAAATTTTCTTCAGGCACAGGCATTGCCCTTTTAAACTACAGAGCCACTTGTAGGATTCACAATACTCACTCAATGGCTTCCCTTCCTGGCAGTGTGGTTTTGTGTGTGTGTGTGATTGTGGGGAAGGAGGCTGACAGAGGTTGGAAGGGATTGTCAGGGAGGGACATCATGTAAGCAAGTACTAACAACATAACGTGACGAGGGCACCAGTTGCTTTCCTTCTGTGGGCGGTGATGGCATGTTATACTGTAGGTACTATTGTTGTAGGATTTCTCACAGTTCGTTTGCCTTGACTAAATGGTAACTGCACACATACTATACTATAAATGGACTCCTCCTCTAGTCCTTTAACTCCTTGAGGGCTGTGATAGACCTTATTTAACTTTGTACCCTCTTTGCCAGTGGTTTTAACATAGTGCAGGCACGGTATGTGTTTGAATTGGGTAAATTACTTTTACTGCCTAGTGGTAGCTGGTGTACACAGGAGAGGGCCACCAACTCTGGGGACTTGTCCAAAATGACAATTCACTTGCAGATCTCTGATGAAATTTACTTTAAAAGGACTTCTAACCTTTTTTTTAATCTGTCGGTTATTTTTTGAAAAGAAGTGGGGCTTAACTAGTGCTCTAAGGATTTTAACAAGAGATTCCGATTTAGAAATCTGTTCCCCCTTTTGGTGAAATTCTTATTTTTTTTAGAGTCAGAATCTTCACTGTTGCCCAGTTGTCTTCCTGGGACCCAAGCCGTCCTCCCACCTCAGCCTCCCACAGTACTGGAATTACAGGCGTGAGCCACCCCACCCAGCTGGTGAAATTATTAAAATTGTAGTGAAAACTCTGCCTCCATTGTGAAATTGGAAAAAAATTAGAAATTTTAGAAAAAAGTACGCCCTTTGGAGCTAGGTAGAGTTCAGATCCCCACATTTCCATTGAGTAGTTGCATAGCCTCTCAGAGCTTCAGCTTCCTACTCCTTAAGGGTTAGTAACATGCTTTGCAGTGTTGTTAGGAATCAGTGAAACTGTGTGAGATACTTAACTGCAGTATCTAACATGGAGTAGGTAGCTATTTCCTGGTAGCTGTAATGATAATAATTTTGATACGTTTTTACATGACTTAAGCATTCTGAAAAGTCTGATGCTTCTGAGTATGGAGGCTTAGCTATTTCTTTCATAAAGAAGGGGCCCTGAGACTTGTGAGTCTTATCCAAATGCGTTTCTTCAAAGGTGTCAGATGAACTGAAGGATAATGGAAACAATAGCAAATTTATCTTCTCAGTCACCTGTGAGTCTTCCTTTGAGAGTGGGACTTGCAGAGTACTTGGTAGGGTAGAGCTCTTTGTGACTATGCTATTTAGGAAATGGTGAGAGATGGATTGTTTTCAGTACATCAGTCATAAGAGGATATGAGTGAGTTCCAACTTTCCTTATTTTACCTTAGTCTTGACAAATAACAAGTATGGATTATGTCTGTATTTCTCAGACTTGTTTAAGGTAGAACTGGACTGGGTGTTAACAGTGTTAGTTCAGCAGAGACATGAGCAAATCACTCACTTCCCCTTCAAGATAACACTTTAAAGGTGCCACCATTTGCAGAAGAAAGCAGTGATTTAAAGCAGCTATACTAGCACAGTTTAGAATACTTACACTAGCTGATGGAGTAGATACATTCTAGAAATATTTACCTGTAGTGGGAGTTGAACAGTGAGAACACATGGACACAGGGAGTGGGGAACATCACACACTGGGGCCTGTTGGGGGTTGGGGGGCTAGGGGAGGGATAGCATTAGGAGAAATACCTAGTGTAGATGACGAGTTGATGGGTGCAGCAAACCACCATGGCACGTGTGTACCTATGCAACAAACCTGCACGTTCTGCACATATACCCCAGAACTTAAAGTATAATAATAAGAAAGAAAAATAAATATTTACCTGTTAAGGACATTTCTGTGTATTTTATTCCATCTTTCCAATAGTTTTCTTATGAAGAGATTATAGTTAACCTTTGAACTTAACAGATTGAGAGGGTAAACCTTTAAAAAATATATTTGGTCACACTTACAGACTGAGGGTAAAAACATTCCTGACAAAGCTAGGCGAAGACACTTGGACTTTTTTTTTTTTTTTGAGACGGAGTCTCGCTCTGTCACCCAGGCTGGAGTGCAGTAGCACGATCTTGGCTCACTGCAACCTCTGCTTCCCCGGTTGAAGCGAATCTTCTGCCTCTCCCGAGTAGCTGGGACTACAGGCACACGCCACCATGCCTGACTAATTTTTGTATTTTTAGTAGAGACGGGGTTTCACCATATTGACCAGGCTGGTCTTGAACTCCTGACCTCGTGATCCACCCACCTCAGCCTCCTAAAGTGCTGGGATTACAGGCATGAGCCACTGCACCCGGCTGAAACTTGGACTTTTGATGTTTCCTTCTTTTAAAGTTAACATCTAGCACTTGAATAGACTTGGTTATTACTGATGGGGACAGGCATCCATTTGGAAGTAGCTTCCCTCTCTCTCTCTTTCCCAGGTTAGGCTGTCTTATTGCTGTAAATGGGGAGAGAAGAGAAAGCCGTGGGTGGAAGAAAGTGTTTCATGGCCTGGTGCGGTGGCTCATGCCTGTAATCCCAGCACTTTGGGAGGCCGAGGCGGGTGGATCACTTGAGTTCAGGAGTTCAAGACCAGCCTGGCCAACATGGTGAAACCCCGTTTCTACTAAAAACAGAAAAATTAGCTGGGCATGGTGGCGGGCACCTGTAATCCCAGCTACTTGGGAGGCTGAGGCAGGAGAATCACTTGAACCCAGGAGATGGAGGTTGCAGTGAGCCGAGATTGCACCACTTCACTCCAGCCTGGTCGACAGAGCGAGACCTTGTCTCAAAAAAAAAAAAAAAAGTGTCCCACTCAGTTGCCCAGGCTGAAACGCAGTGGCAGGATCACTGCTCACTGCAGCCTTGAACCAAGCGATTATCCCACCTCAGCCTCCCAAGTAGCTGGGATCACATGCATGCACCGCCATGCCTGGCTAATTTTTTTATTTTTGTAGAGACAGGGTCTCTCTATGTTGCCCAGCCTGGTCTCAAACTCCCGGGATGAAGCAATCCTCCCACCATGGTCTCCCAAAGTGTAGGGCTTACAGGCGTGAGAGCCTGCTGGGGTTTTTGATTGACATTGCATTGAAACTGGAAATCAGTTAGGAGGCAACTGACATTTTAATAATGAGCCATGAACATGGTATATCTATTTATTTAGACCTTCTTAGATTTTTTGTCAGTGTTTTGTAGTTTTTAGCAGTTGGATCTTGCTTGTATTTTGTAATCTTACACATTTATTTCATGTTTGTGGTACTGTTGTGAATGATACTTCTCAATTTCCAGTTGGTGATTGCTAGTATATAGGAAGGTGATTTTATGTTATATGCTGACCTTGGATTCTACAACCTTGCTAAACTCATTTTTAGTACTAGAAGCTTTTTTGTAGATTTTTGGAATTTTGTGCATAGACAGTAATGTCACTGGCAAATAAGGGCAGTTTAATTTCTTTGTTTTCACTTTGTATGCTTTTATTTCCTTTTTTTTTTTTGAGACGGAGTTTCTCTCTTGTTGCCCAGTAAATTAGCCCATGTAAATATTTCTGTTTGTATCTCTTGAAAGTAAAGACTCTTTTAACCATGGATGAGTGTCTTGATCAAATCAACATGGCTTGTTCATGTCGATACCATTTGCTCAGAGGGGAAAGATTAAGGGAAAAATGGGGTTGGATTTGAAATGCCAGGACCTGTCTACTGGGTTTGTGATTTGTTATTCTCTAAAGTTGTAGCTCTTAAAACAAAGAAAGGAGTGAGTTTGGCCTATTCATTAACTTTTACTCTTTAGACAGTTCAAATGTTTATTGAGTTCTTCTACAGGGCGAGCCCTGCCTTCTTCATGCTTACCAAGAAGCATTTTTACGCGGTTTCTCTAATGTTTGGGTGAACGGTACCTCACTAAGTTGTTTTTCACGCACGTGCGTGCTCGTTCCTGAAGAGTCCTGTCCAGGTGCTCTGCCCGCTTTTCCTTTCAGGCTTCTGTATCAGCTGCCGTTTCCCTATAGAACGTGCCCTGACCTCCACCCCTTAACCCTAACCAATTTGCCTTTACATGTCTGACCATCCATCAAGGCTCTTTTGGGTCATATTCAGTCCATGTTGATATTTCCCCTTCCTCCCTTCTTTAGTCCTTACTATTTTTGCTTTGGTCATGTTTTCTTACACTGTATTCTGTAAGCCTGTTTAATTTTTTTATGGTGGCAGGGGAAAATATTTTATAATTATGCTTTGTGCTTTTTATCTTCCACTCAATAAATGCTTGGTAAATATTTGTTTTATTGAATGTATGAGCCTATTCTAGCTATATTGTGCTTGAACAAAAATCTTAACTGCCTTGTAAGTTAACTGCTAAGAATTTGTCAAAAGTGCAGAGATAACATCAAGAGCTTGTCATGGATAGTACAAAAAGGTCTCTAAGGGCTTGATGGAAGTCTGTAAATTGACTTCCTATGAAAGAGAGTGTAAGAAGTGAAAAAAAGCAAAACAGAGTAGATGTTTTACTCTGTTTGCCAAGGGATTTGTGCTATTTTTTTCCTGTTTTATAAATTTGTCCTAATCTTAAATAATGAAGGGAAAAGAGCACTCTTTTTCAACCAAGGAATCCTTTTTATACTTCTTTTCTGTGAAGCCATGTTATGAAAGATTGTTATACAAACTTAAGTATAGTTTTTCCATCTTCAGTAACAGACCTGATTGCCATCTAGTTACTGGTTCTGATCACACAAGAATGCAAAGCAGCTTGTTCTAATAACTTGTGCAGGCCTATTGGGAACTAGTATATGGCTTTGAGTCCTTTTGAAGTATTTAACATAATTTGGCAATTCCATTACGCCTTTTATGGACTTCTTGGCATCTATGAACTCTTGGTAGGGAATCACTGTTTTAGAATGAAAAATGTCTCCCAGGAAGTAAATTAGCCGGTAAACAAATGAAACTTCATTTTTTATATGACTTGTAGAGCATAAATTATTACTCTTTCTGCATAAGTGGCTGCTTTCTAGGCTGCTTTTAGCGAGATTGTTAGAAACAAATGATTGGTGCTGTGAGGAAGAAGCAGCACTCAGGCAAAAAAGTTTTCTCAGCAAGACAATTTGCTTCTGCAAGTATGCTGCTTGCATTAGTCATGATTGCAAGAGCACACCAAACGGGGTGGAGCAGGGGTTCTTATCCCTAATGCACTCCCTACCTCTGTGTCATTCCAACATGGGCTGGGGTAGGACTGCACAATCTTAGCTGACTCAGCTGGATATTGTGAATATTTTCTCTAATAAGAAAGGGAGGGGGAATGTGAGTTACAGATTGGGGCTGGTAGGAAGAGTTGTTTACAAGGCAGGTTACTAAGCAGGTAACTAAGCTGGTAAGTAGGGTCGAGAAGGTACAGGGAAATTGTTCTTAGGAACAGAGAACAAGGAAGTTGAACAAGTTAAACCTTTGAAGAGGAACTTACTGTACCTAACAATTCCCCCCTCTTAATTTTTGTAATTCTTCCTCTTCAAACTTTTTTAGCATGTCTTTGCTTTGCTGTTCTGCTTGGTTTTCTAGAAGGAAAAGCTTATCTGAATAGGGTGGAGGAGAGCTAAGAGAGGTTTTGGTAAGTTCTGTGTCTATGAGTCTTTGCAGTAGTCCACAAATGTATGGTATGATACAGCATCCAACAAGAATAAGCACACCTATAACGATTGCAAGAGAAGTAAATATTGAGGACATTAAGCCTTTCCATTTTCCAGACCATTTCTCCATTAAACTTGTAAAGGGATCATTTATTCCAGAATTGCTTGCTAACTCATTGGATAAGGAGGTTAGGTCCTGCAAAGCTTTTGTTACTGTTCCGTCAGGGGCTGTGTTATTAGGAATAAAAGTACATCATTGGACTCCAATCATGACACAGACACCACCTTTTTCTGCTAGCATCGTATCTAGGGCTATCCTGTTTTCCCAGACTATTTAGTTAATGGGACCTAATTGGGAGGCTGTTCCCTTAATGGCATGTCTTGTGTAGTTAACAAACCTTTGTTGGTTGTAATAAATGTAGTTTATCCGATCTACATTTTTATTTACAGTTGACCACCAAAACAGCACAGATTCAAATCCTGAAGCTGTTTGATTTCGGGCCTTAAATTTATCTGGTACCCCTCGTGGAACTCCAGTAGCATCTTTATAAACGTGGGAGTCAAAGGACCCATGAAGGTCACTTCTTCTCTTCTGATTTTCTCTTCTATTATGTTAATGGAATGCTAGGGTGAAAGGGATGGCCAGTTGGACTAGAGCACAAGTACCACTCCAGTTACTTGGCAGAGTGTCCAGTAAGGGTCCACCACAATACCACCATACGTATGCTCGAGGATGAACAAGGGCAGACTGACTGGTAAGCTCTTGGGAGAGTTTAAGTTCACCGCATCCCTTTAGGTCTTCATGAAATGCCAAGTTTTCCCCTTGTTGTGAGAGACCCGAGGTAAAAATTGGTGTCAATAGATGGAGGCTGGATGGCCCTCAGGGACTGACCTGCAGGGTGTTGGACTTTAGGGAATAGCAGAGAGAGAGCTTGGCAAGATTCATTACCCCAGGCTGTGGGGTCTTGGAGAAGAGCTACCATACAGCTCATGCCCAGTTGGCTGGAAGACCATCCGAGTGGAAAGGGGACAACCTGGGCCTCTGGCCTACTGTGCGCACAAGTGTAACAGTTGCTTTTGTTTAGAGTGCGGACAGAATATTTAATCCATTCTAACCAAGCATTTGCATCTTGGTACCCTGTCTCAGTTGCTATGGTTTGTTTCAAATTTTTAACTTCTACAATGGCTTACCTTGATTTTATCCTTGGTTGAAGGAAGAACAGCGGTTTCGTTGAGAGAGAGTGTAGAAGGAGGTGGAGGAGGTGAGAAAGTAATGAAATGCATTTCAAAGGATTCTATAAGATGTGTCCCTGCTATTTTGGCTCCTATGCCGTATAAGCGACTTAAAGTAGGTTTAGGGTTGGCAGAAGTGGGGATAAGAATAGAAATTTGCACTGGATTACATTGGTTATACTGGCAGTCAGGGGGTGGGGAATGTTTCCTTTAACAAAGCAAACATGGTTTTAGAGACTTACAACTGCCTGTTGACAAAGCCCTGATGTTCAGTTGTCCACATAATATCATTCCAGCTGTGGCAGGCCTGTTTCCCTACATTTCTTAAGGAACAAGAGTCGTAATGGGGGAGGCTTTTGTCTGAAAGGGACGGAGATACTTCTCTGAGGCTGAGAGTTGCTTTTGACTTTGGAGAGCTCCACAGGATATAACAAGGCAAGCATCAAAGGTAATAGTTTGGGGTGAGCTCGACCTAGTTACATTAATAACGAGAGGACTAGCAATAGAAGGGGAAAAGAAATATAGCATAAGAGGATCAAACCCGTTTTAGCTTTAACTTGGTTGGAATTGGCCCTGAAATAGCTGTCCATGATTCTGGAGTGGGTGGTGCTCTTTTGACTCAGGTATGGTGAGTCCATTCTTTTTCAGTGGTGTGGACGGCTGTCTCAGTCATTAGAAACACTAGATAATGTCCCTCCCAGGTGGGCTTGAGCTTCCTTTCTTTCTGACCTTTGATGAGAATGTGGTCACTGTCCGGGCTGGTGGTGGTGAACTGGAAATTCAAGGGGTGGTGTATGTGCCAAGAGGCCTTTAGTCCTAAGGAAAGAGAAAGTGGAGGATAGACCAAGTATATAGTTCTTGAGAAACAGATCTTTTGTTTCGAACGAGGAATGTCAGCAGTGGAGTGTAGATAAGGCAACTCATACAGCATTTCATAAGGAGGTGAGCCGACATCTTTCCTAGGGGCAGTTTGGAATCTTCACAAGACCATGGGGAGGCATTTAGTCCATGGCAACCGAGTCTCTAGGACTAATTTGGTTAGGTGGTTTTTCAGAGTCTGATTCATTCTTTCTACTCTTCCTGATGAAGGTGGGTGCCAGGGGTTATGGTAGTCCCATGTTATATCTAGTACTTGGGCTAGTTTCTTAAGAACATGTGCAGTGAAATGAGTCCTGTTGTCTGAATCAGCATTTTCTATTAATCCAAACCTGGGTATAATATTTTCAACTAATGCCTTGAGTACATTACTAGCAGTTGCACTTGAAAAGGGAATAGCTTCTACCCAATGAGTAAGGTGATCTATCACTAATAAATATTTTAAGTGACCAATTGGGGGCATTTCGGCATAATCAATTTGGACAATTTGGAACAGCCTTAATCCTGGATTTCTCCCTCCAACAGGTGGTTTTCTGAGGATCTGCTTATTAGTCTTCTTACATACTAGGCAACTATCTGTAACTTGTCTTGCCAAAATGTAAATTCCTATACATCTGTAGACCCCGAGGACTGCATCACACTTAGCTTGAGGTCCCTAATGAGTCCCTTGATGCAGATGAAAGAGGATTTCCCTCATGAGGGGTTTGGATAACATTTCTCTTTGGTCTGGTGACACCCATTTCCCTTCTGAATTTTCTTTGGCTCCTATTTTTATTAATTTTTCCTTTTCAGCGGGAGAAAAGATGGGGACTGCAGTCGAGGGAGGAAGGCAAGGGGCTAAGTGAAAAACAGGCATTTTCAGAGGAAACGGCAGTGTGTTTGGCTATTTGATCTGCTAGGTTATTCCTTCCGCTTTGAAAAGAAAGACCTTTCTGATGTCCTGGAACATGGACAATAGCTATTCTGGCAGCTGCAGGTTATCTAATACTTGGGTGATTAATTCTTTGTGGCCCAGGTCTTGGCCTTTGCTATTAATAAGATCTCGTTCAGTCCAAATTTTTCCAAAGGTGTGAGCTGCCCCAAAGGCATACTTGGAATCAGTATAAATAGTCCGTTCTTGGTTTTGCAAGTGCTTTAAGGCTTGATTTAATGCAAACAATTCATTCACATGTTTGGGCAGACCAATTATTTGGCAGGCTTCCTGACTCTACTTCTTCAAGTGCCTCCCCATCTACTACTGAGTACCTATTACGCCTTTTTCCTTCAATTACTTGGGAAGAGCCATCTATAAAGAAGCCCTGCCCCGTTTTGTAAGGGGTCTCTCTTAAATCAGGCCTAACTTTTGTATGATCATTAAATCTAAACACTCATGCTCAGGTCTCTTTAGATTTGAATCTCCAGTCAGGAAACCTCTGGGTTAAGTGAATTATCAGTGGTTAGTGTTAAATCATCTCTTTCTAACAGGATAGCTTCATACTTTAAAATTCTCAAGTCAGTAAGCCACCTTCCTGCCTTTTAATTTAAGATGGCTCTAACCTGATGGGGCATGTTTACAACTAACTTTCCCCCAAAGGTTAGTTTTCTGCTTTCTTTAGTTAACAAGGCGGTAGCTGCAATGGATTGAAACATTCAGGCCATCCACAGGTTACTGGATCTAAAACTTTTGATAGGAGATCCATGGGTTGCTGGTGACCTCCGTGTTCTTGGGTAAGGACCCCTAAAGCTACCCCCTTATTTATGTTAACAGAAAGGTGAAATGGCTTTTCTAGGGAAGGCAAAGCTAAAACAGAGGCAGTTATAAGCAGATGTTTTAGCTCCTCAACCTGGTGGAGTTCTTCAGAAGTCCAGAGGAGAGGGTCAGGCTTTTCTTGGGTGATTTTTAGGTAGAGAGGCTTTATGACAAGGGCATATGAGTCAATCCATAAGCGGCAATATCCGGCTATCCCTAGGAATTTTCTGAGTTCTTGTTTAGTCTTAGGCAAAGGTATGGATACAATCCCTTCAACCCTCTCAGGCCCTATCCTTCGTTTGCCGTTACTTATTAAGTGTCCTAGGTATTTAACTTCAGGCTCTATGAATTGAAGCTTTCTCTTTGAAACCCATAGCCCCTCTCCTTACAAATGGTTAAGGATATGGATGGAGAAAGCAGATACCTTTTCTATAGCCTAACCGGATATTAATAAGTCATCTACGTACTGGAGCAGACATATACATTTTGGGGTATAAACTTGTTCTAACACTTGTTCTAGAATTTGACCAAAGAGATTAGGGGAATCTGTGAAGCCCGGGGGTAGAGCTGTCTATCGATACTGTTGCTGTCATCCAGAATGGGGATCTTCCCATTCGAAAGCAAAAATGTCTCAGCTGTCCTCATCCAAGGAGCATGCTCAAAAGGCATCTTTTAAACCTATTACTGTAAACCATTGATGTTCATATGGAATTTTACTGAGAATGGTTTAAGGATTAGGGACAACAGGATGGGTAGTCTAGACTGTCTGGTTGATGGCCCAGAGGTCTTATGCTAGTCGACATGACCTATCTGGTTTCTTCACAGGCAGTATTGGGGTGTTATAAGGGGACATACAGGGTTCAAGGAGCCCATCCTTGATGAGGCTTTCAATTACAGGTTTCAGGCCTATTCTGCCTTCTAAAGGAATAGGATATTGCTTTCTTCTTACTATTTCTCCAGGGGTTTTTAACTTTATATGTATAGGGGGAATTTGGAGTTTTCCCCAATTTCCTTCCCTTGCCCAAACATCAGGATGAATGTATGTTTCTTCTGCAGTGGTGAGCAGGTTTAATGAAGTGTAGAATCCTTCTGAGCCAATACGTAAACCTATACCTAATTTTAACATTAAGTTTCTTCCTAATAGATTAGTTCCTGCCTCTGAAATTAACAAAAATTCAACATTAGCTGAGCAGTTTTTACATCTAATTTCTGTTTCTTTTAAAATTTTTAGTTTGATTCCCTCTCCTTTTACCCCTGAGACTACAAGCTCCTCTGAGGACCAGGTTATATTGTGGGGGAAGGTAACAAACAGAGGAGCAGGCTGCTCCTGAGTCTACTAAAAAGGTCATAAGCTCAGATTTGGGTTCCACTTCTAAATTTATCAAGGGCTCTTGGTGGGATTCAAGGTAAAAGAGACAGAGCCCCTAACCCCCCTATTCCTCCTCAAAGGTCGTAAGTGGGACGACTTCTCTTTCTGATTTTAATTTGGGACAATACCTCTTGAAGTGGCCTACTTTCTCACAATTGAAGCATTGATTCTGTCTCTTCTCTCTATTTTTGGGTTTCTCGGCTTTGCCTCCTTATGTTCTTTATATGGCTTAGGAAGTGGGGGCCTAGGATCTTTATAGGTTTTGGCTCTCGGGAGGCTTTGTTTGGGAGTGTGTGGGTCTCTGGGTAACAGAGAGTAATACTGGTGTGTTTTATCCTTTGGGGCCCCCTGTTGGAAGGTGGATAACATAATTTTCATTTTTTCTTTTTGCTTCTCCTCATCCCTCCTTACACACACTTTCTGAGCTTCTCTAAGAAGCTCGTTCGTGGGATGGTCCTTCCAATTTCCTATCTTTTGTAATTTCCTTGTGATATCTGGCTGTTAGTAACAAAATGAAGCTTTAACATTCACTGCCTAAGAGGATCTTCTAAATCTAGGCCAGCATATTTTCTCATTTGTTCTTTCAACCTGTCTAAAAGTTCGATAGGCCCTTCATCTTTCCTTTGTTGTATGTCGAATGCTCGAGTAAGATTTTGGGTTCGGAGTACTGACTCCCGAATCCCTTTTATTATCATTTCCCTAAGTTCTTGCGTATCCTCTTCAGTGGGCTGCGTTATTATTGTCCCAGCAGGGGTCTTGGTTGGGGAATTTTTGATCCGCTGCATGAATGTTTTGGCCAGGAGGGTGTTCATGTTCCCAGGCTACCATAGCAGCTCTACAGATGATGCTTCTTTCTTCCCCTGAGAAAAGGATGCCTAGGATGGACATTAACTCAGCCCAAGTATATATAACTGTGGTCCTAGAAATTGGTTAATTCGATCTGCTATTCCACTGGAGTTGTCTAATAGTGTGGCTTGAACTCTGTTTTTAGGTTTTGGACCTCCGAGCTGGTTAAAGGAGCATTTACAAAGTGAATACCTCCTCCTCGTAGGGACACCTCTCTTCAGGGGAAGAGAGGTGGAGCTAATTCTCCCGAGGTAGAGGGGAAGGGGAAGTTCTGAATATCCCTTTTACATTGCTCTATCTCACATTGAAGTCCTTTCAGGGAAGAGTACTTAGGGTGATAGTGAGCAGGCTGTTGGGACAATTCCCAAGAGGCAGGGTTATAAAGAGGGGGAACAATGTGGGTAGGAGAAGGGTCTGGGACAACTGCCTCTGCTTGAGGGGGAGGGAGGTTAGGGGTATTGGACGGGGGAAGGTGGTGGAGGAAGTTCCATGTGTTGGTGAGCTGTCTAGGAACAGGGACCTTATCTTTCTCAGAGGAGTTAATTTCTGACTTGCTTTTCAGGATTGATTCCTGAGTCCAAATGAAACAACAATATTTTATCATTTGCTGCTTTTTCTTGTATTTAGTCCTTTCACTCTCTTTCCAATATTTTAGCATAAGCCCTAGGGGACTATCAGGAGGAATGTTATTGTTGCTAGCTTTATCCTTTTTCTCCCCTGCATTACTTGAGGTATTTCCCATCTTGAAAAGGGATTGGGGTGAGGCTCAATTTCCCCTACTAGAAATTTCTTCCCAGTTACGAGAGGTTTGTATAAGGCTCAACCTCTCCTACTGGAGATTTCTCACCTTTCCTTTCCTTTCCTTTCCTTTCCTTTCCTAGAGGCTCAACCCCCCTGCTGGAGGTTTCTTGCACTTTTCTCCTTTCGCTTCATCCTTCTCTGGCTGCTTCCCTCACGGGAACGTTGGTTTCCTCTTAGCAATGGCTGTTTCAGTAGAAACCCCTGACCCAGACTCCTTTACAGAAGGGCTACCTTAAGCTGTATAAGGTGACCACAGAACTGCAGATCTGGACTGAACACTTGCTTTGCACTCAATTGTGAGTCTCAACACACACTTTCAATCTCCAAGATATCCCAACCACCAAGAAAATACTTTGTCGCTCTTGTGATGTTTCTTACGTTGGTCTGTGCACATAGTTACCTGGTCACCATGGTATGTGAGGATCCTTTTCTCTTAAGTTGTTGGTCTGTTCCTTTCCAGACTGCTGAGAGTCCGGGTTTATTCATCACACTGGGTGGGTCCTGATCCCTCACCATGAGGCCACCTCAATGAGGCAGTGGGATGCTTCTCCTCACTATTGGTGACTGGAGACCCTTTTCTCAGAGGAGAATGGGAATTCCGGACGAGCCCCCAGATTGTTAGAAACAAATGATCAGGCTGGGCGCAGTGGCTCGCCCCTGTAATCCCAGCACTTTGGGAGGCCGAGGTGGGCGGATCATGAAGTCAGGAGATCGAGACCATCCTGGCTAACATGGTGAAATGCCGTCTCTACTAAAAAAAAAAAAATACAAAAAAATTAGCTGGGCGCAGTGGTGGGTGCCTGTAGTCCCAGCTACTCAGGAGGCTGAGGCAGGAGAATGGCGTGAACCTGGGAGGTGGAGCTTGCAGTGAGCTGAGATCAAGCCACTGTGCTCCACCCTGGGCAACAGAGCGAAACTCTGTCTCAAAAAAAAAAAAAAAAAAGAAAGAAAAAAGAAACAAATGATCAGTGCTGCAAGGAAGAACCAGCACTCAGGAAAAAAAGTTTTCTCAGCAAGACAACTTACTTCTGCAAAAGAGTGCTGTTTGCATTAGTCACGAATGCAAGAGCACACCGAGCGGGATAGAGCAGGAGTTTATATCCCTAACGCAGTCCCTACCTCTCTGTCATTCCCACATGGGCTGGAGTCGGACTACACAATCTAAGCAGACTTGATTTGCTATCGCGAATATTCTCCCTAATAAGGAAGGGAGAGGGAATGTGAGTTACAGGTTGGGACTGATGGGAAGAGTTGTTTACAAGGCAGGTAACTGAGCAGATAACTAAGCAGGTAAATAGGGGTGAGAAGGTACAGGGAAATTGTTCTTAGGAACAAAGAACAAGGAAGTTGAACAGGTTAAACCTTTGAAGAGGAACTTACTGTACCTAATAAGTTTTTTTGATTGGCTAATTAAATGTCTATTCATTATTGCCAAAAAGTGCCTACCCCAACAACAAGATACCAAATTTTAGAAAATGTTGGAGCTCTCTCTGAATCTAGGAGGAAGTGAGTAGTTTAGCTTTTATTTAGTAGTTAGGACCTTAAGTAAATCACTTTTTTTACTGTGTTTCTGTATAACATAGATAATATTTTTTGCCCTGCAAGAGAGCATATAGAGGAAAGCTCTTTGGCAGCGATACTGTGCCCTATGAATAAAAAAGTGATGGTGTCATTTGTGGCTGAATAACAGTTTATTTTGAGAATGCTTTATAACAGCTTTTCATGGGAAATAAAGCAATGCTGTTAACTTCATCTTGCATTTTTCTCATTTTTACTATGATTAAAAAGTAGTCAGCTTGTACAAAGGAAAGAAACAAGCCTTGACTCAGGAGCCTAGGACTTTTTCTTTGGTTTGCCCTCCTGGAACAGATTACCTTTCCAAATTGAATTTGTGGAGGAGCATTGGGAAATATCAGAAATGTCATATTAAGCACCTCAGTGGTACTTTTAATAGAGGAGTTATTCAGAAATTATACTAGGCAGATAGAGAGGGTAAGGAGGCCTCAGTAAGGCTTTCCCTTTTAATAGAAACAACTCCAGAAACATTTCTTTTTCTTTTCTTTTTATCTTTTTTTTGGAGACGGAATCTCGCTCTGTCACCCAGGCTGGAGTGCAGTGGTGTGATCTCAGCTCACTGCAGCCTCTGCCTCCCAGGTTCAAGTGAATCTCCTGCCTCAGCCTCCTGAGTAGCTGGGACTACAGGCTGCCAAGCTTTGATATGCAAATGCCAGCGCTTAGAAACTGTGTCCATTCAACATGGAGATTCCCACCCTCTTCTTCTAGTCACCACCTCAAGGTGACACCTCCAGATGACCCCATGTGTGCAGGACAACATGGTGACCTACATTTGCATATTAAAAGGCTAGGGTGGGAGGGCCACGTTTTTCTCGGGCTACATGAATGACCTGCCTGGTCAAACCAATGCCCTGGGCCCTGTGCAAATCAGACACCACCTCCTCCAGCCTCCCAATATAACCGAGTACTGTTCTGCCACACACGGGGCTTTTTCTCTGTTCAGACCCCCTTTTTCTGTACCGCAGGGAGCCTTTCTTCTTTCTTGTCTATTAAACTTTCTGCTCCTTAAAACCACTCCTGTGTGTCCATGTCGTTTAACTGGCGTGAGACAAAGGACCCCGATGTTTCTCCCGTTTTCAGAGCCATATCACTTTGAGTCCAGAGGAATTATTTTCATTTATCTGACCAATTTATAATATAGGGTCAAATTCCTAGTGGTTATCCTCCCTCATCCCCATTTTTATACCCTTCCTTGAAAGGAACAGGTATATGAAGAGGAGACAGGTTTCCCTTTTGTGAATAGTATATCCCTTAGTATCTTGAATTTTTTTTGGTGGGGGTGGGGGGAGTTAAACTTACTTAGACCTGGTAAAGGGCAGTATTTGATAAATGTCAGCTAGTTTAGGGTTAGGGAATTGAGTTGAATGGAGATAGTCACTGCCAAATGTAAAGCATGACTGGAGAGCCACAGTGATGAAGCCAGGGTCCCTTTCTCCAGATCCTTTGTAACAGTGTTATGTGATCTCTTCTAGAAGATTGTTCTGAAAGATAATGCCAACTCGGAACCTAGGAAACCATCCAGTGGGTTTCTGCAGCTTAGGTGGTTCAAATCCTCATCAGCACGTTTGTTTTCTCTGCCTCAGTTTGCTTACAGTGATGTTCTCAGTAGCTGTAATTGCTGTCTTTGAATACTTAAGCATTTTTTTTTAGCTCACAGGGGTATGTGTGCATTTTTCTTTTACCAAGTGTTAGAACTTTGACTCTGCTTTTGTGGGCTCTGGTTTAGCAACTTGGTTGTTTAGTTGTAAAATGATTAGTAGGGAAAACCGTGTGTGTGTGTGTGTGTGTGTGTGTGTGTGTGTGTGTGTGTGTGTGTATTTTAAGTTTCTTTTGTTCTCAGAGCACTTAGAATTTTATATGGAAATTCTATCAGTTTACTTGATTCTCCACCCCACATTTCTTAAACAGCAAAGTATGAAGGTAATGTGTCCCATAACCAGCCTTCAGAAGAATTACAGCTGCTGTGTCTCTGAACTTTCAAGAAGTTTGTGCATCAATTTTCAAAAAATTATGAAATCCTTGAAGATAGCTGTGTTCTACATTTGGAAAGATACAAAAACTGAACCTTCTAGCAGGCAGTTTTGCTTGCTGGTGCTTGAGATAGAGCCACACATTGGTCTCAGTGGATTTATGGAGAAAAATAGGTACAGAAAGTTATTTCTAAATAAGACCAAAAATCCTTTTCTTAAGCAGTGACAGGTAAAGAGGTTGTCTTGGCTAATATTGAATTGTGTTGCCCTTGATTGAGACAGTTTTATGGTGGGGATGGTAGTGGTGATAAACTTGTTTGAAATTTGTCCACCTATAGTAACCTTTGTGGTAGCTGTCACAGACAGCTTCATCCTCACAGGCCCTAAAATTACTATAAAACTAATAGATTGGAGGAGAAACAAAGGACCTGAATAATTAGATGCTTAGATAATTGTTCTGTGTTTTCATAACAAGTGAAAAAGAGCAGTGTTAGAAGTACTTAAACTTTCCATGTAAGGAGCACTGCCTGAATTTATATTGTGATTTTAGAGCATCATTCACTGTTTAAAAACAGGCATATTGTGGGTCATATTTTAAAGACAAACAGAAAACTTATCTTTTCAAGATGGATCTAAAGCTTAACCTTATCAAAATTACAAAATGTGAAGGATATGATTGAAAAATATTAATGCATAGGTTTAAATATTGGTCATCATTTTAGATGTCTTTCAAAATAGGTTGTCTCTTAAATATTAAACTGAACAAACATTGAACTTGTTGTAGAGTTTGTGCTCAAGGTTAAGTTTCCTGGGGTGATGGATATTTGATAATATGGATAACAAAAAGTTCTTAAGAAATTTAGAAAATTTTTAGGCAAAACTAGAAAATAATACTGATAATTCTACCACTCAGAATGTACCACTATCAGAATTTTGTATCTTTCAGTCATCTGCTCATCTCTTTTCTCCTTTGCTTGTATGTGTTCCCTCTCCCTTAAAAAATCAGATTTTTTTTTGTAATCTGCATTTTCACTCAATATTGTAGATCTGTGTCATAAGTTACTCCTCTACAGTGCCTTCAGTTATTGTGTGCTTTGTGTTGGATGACTGTACCATCTAGTCTTTCGTGTTTCCTGGTACTGACTACATAGGGGTGAGTGTGTGTGTGTGTGTGTGTGTGTGTGTATATTTTTTTTCTACCTTAACTAATGCTTTGGACATCATCAACAGGTAGAGCTAAATCCTTGAAACCTTCCAAGTGGTGGCTTTCAGTTATTGCTGAATTGGTTTTTAGAGATGGAACAAATTATATTGTATGGAAACTTTTTTTTTTTTTTTGAGACAAAGTCTCACCTTGTCACCCAGGCTGGAGGGCAATGGCATGATCTTGGCTCACTAAAACCTCCACCTCCCAGGTTCAAGTGATTCTCTTGCCTCAGCCTCCCGAGTAGTTGGGATTACAGGGGCCTGCCACCATGCCCGGCTAATGTTTGTGTTTTTACTAGAGATGGGGTTTCATCATGTTGGCCAGGCTTGTCTCGAACTCCTGACCTCAGGTGATCCACTCACCTTGGTCTCCCAAAGTACTGGGATTACAGGCATGAGCCACCATACCCAGCCTTTTTTTCTTCTAGGTACCAGCTTTTATTTATCAGATTGGTATAAATGTTAGAAAGCGTGCAATGAAATGGGCATTTTCACAGTCGTGGCAGAAAGTATAATTATCTTTGACTTTCTAGAAAGCAGTCTGGCATTCTAGAAACTTGCCTAACCTCTTCCCATTTAGACAAGATGAGTTCTGACAGGGCCAGCCTTGTCCCTGTGATTCCGTATCTCCCAGAAAGAGAGGTCTAGTGTCAGGGAAAACCCAGATTTTCTTGGCTTAGCCCACCTGACAGCTAATCACTGGAAATGGGGTGGGCCGGTAGAGTCCTTTGGTCAGGTTTTGTGTCAAGAGAGGGATGTGGAAAGATGGGAGAGAGGTAGCAAAACTGGCCTCAATGGAACTATGTAAGTTAACATAGAATGGCAAAGGAATGTTTCTTCCAAGGAAGAAATTCTAGGGAAGGAATAAAGTGGAGGGGAAGGCAGCAGTTCTCAAAGTTTTGGGGTCAGGATTCCTTTACACTCTTAAAAGTATATTGAGGGCCCAAGGAGCTTTTGTGTATGTAGGTTATATCTATTGGTATTTATCACTAGAAATTAAATCAGAAATACTTAAAATATTCCTTAAAAGCTCACAAAATATTGTTATAAATGCTTTTATGATAAGAAAATTTCTAAACCCAAGGTAGTACAGTCTTACGTCCTTTGCAAATTTCTTTGATGTTTGATATGTCATTTGTACCTGCATTCAATTTATTGTGTGATATTTGCTTGAAAAAATGTGAACAAAGGACAGTCTCATACAGATAGGCATTTCAGATCATTATGGATATTTCTTTTTGCTTTCTTTCTTTTTTTTTTTTTTGAGATGGGGTCTTTCTCTGTCTCCCAGGCTGGAATGCAGTGCTATGATCACGGCTCACTGGAGCCTCATTCTCTGGGGACTCAGGTGATCCTCCCACCTCAGCCTCCAGAGTAGCTGGGACTACAGGTGTGTACTACCCCACCTTGCTAATTTTTTGTATTTTTTGTAGAGATAGGGTTTTGCCATAGGTATTCAAATAGAAAGTTTTGTTTTTGTTTTAGTATATAAAGAAATATAACTTTCCATGTTGGAAAAATTTTTAAAACCTTTTTTTAATTTTAAAACTCATAAGCAACCATTGTTGAGAAAATTGGTAAAGTACAGAAAAGATAAAAGAAAAAAATTAAAGTCTCCCATAATTTCTCTATCTAATATAACCACTATTGACTGTTGACATGATGGTCATTTTCTACCAGTATATAGTTTTTCTTTGCTATTAAAATACATAACCCTTACACATATGCTTAATAGTTGAGGTCATATTCTCTATAGTTTTATATTCTTTTTTTTTTTTTTTTTTTTTTTTTTTTTGAGACAGAGTCTTGCTCTGTCACCCAGGCTGGAGTGCAGTGCCGTGATCTCGGCTCACTGCAAGCTCCACCTCCTGGGTTCCCACCATTCTCCTGCCTCAGCCTCCCCAGTAGCTGGGACTACAGGCGCCCGCCACCATTCCCGGCTAATTTTTTGTATTTTTTAGTAGAGATGGGGTTTCACCGTGTTAGCCAGGATGGTCTCGATCTCCTGACCTCATGGTCTGCCCACCTTGGCCTCCCAAAGTGCTGGGATTACAGGCGTGAGCCACTGTGCCTGGCCCTTTTATATTCTTTTAAAAAGTATTTACTGTATTTTCCTGTGATGTCATAGTCTTTATAGAAAATTTATCATTATTTTCAGTTGACATGATTGTTTACCTAAAAATATCCAAAGGAACCAACTGAGAAAAACAATTTTTAAGATTAGTGGTTAAAAGTTCTTTTATATAAAAATCAATAGCCTTCCCCAGTGTTAGCTATAATCACGTAGAAGATATAGTGATGAAGTATTTTTTCAGGTATTTCAGCAAAAATTAAATACCTAGGAATAAACTTAGATGTGCAGGACTTTTATCAAGGACAGGACAAAATTTTGCTGAGTGGAATGAAAGATTTGCATTCTATGTTCCTGGATGAGCAGATTTCATGTTATAAATATGTTAGTTATCACCATGTCTTCATATTAATTTGTAAATGTAATTTCTGCTGGGCACAGTGGCTCATACCTGTAATCCAAACAGTTTGGGAAGCTGAGGCGGGTAGATGACAATTAGCTGGGTGTCTGTGGCACACACTTGTATTTCCAACTACTTCTGAGGCTGAGGTGGGAGGAGCACTTGAGCCTGGGAGGCAGAGGTTGCAGTGAGCCGAGATCATGCCTCTGAACTCCAGCCTAGGTGACAGAGTGAGACCCTGTCTCAAAAAAAAAAAAAAAAAGAACTAGAAAAGTGTGTGTGTATATATATATATATTTCATATTTTATAAATATTTATATATATAAATTGTATATATACATTTTATATTTTATATATAGTGTGTGTGTATTATATATATACACACACACAAATTTCAGTACAAATTCTGGCAGATTTATTTTTGACACTTGACAAAACGACTCTAAAATTTGTTTAGAAGAATAAGTAATAAAAAGTAATAAAGTATAGACTCTTTCAACCAGATAGTAAATAAAATATTGTGGACTATCCCTGGGCCAGACAGATAAAGGCAATGGAAGTTTAGAACCAGAGTCATGCAAACGAGAATTTAGTATAAGGAAAAGGTGGTATTTTAACTTAATACTGAAAAGATAGATTATTCTGTAAATGGTTTTAGGAGAACTATTTGAGGAAGTCTGAGTCTTAACTCCAATTTTTGTCAAAATAAGTTAGTTGGTTTAAACACATCTATTCTTAAAAATTAGAACAGAAGAATATTGGTTTGAAGATATTTTAAGAGTTAAGGCTGAGGCTGGGCACAGTGGTTCACGCCTGTAATCCCAGCACTTTGCGAGGCCAAGGTGGGAGGATTGCTTGAGCCCAGGAGTTTGAGATCAGCCTGGGCAACACAGCAAGACTCTTTCTCTCTCTCTCTCTCTCGATATAGATATACATATAAATATACGTATACAAATAGAAAAAAAAAAGAGTTAAGTTTTGTATGGAGAGCCATGAAGATAAGAGGTAAAAATTAAAGGCTTGATGGACACATGTTTACATCTCCATCAAGGGGGTTGATGGGAAAGAATGATAGACATAGCTCCATTACTGCTACCTCCTTTTAGGAAGTTGCTTCTGAACATCTAAAGATATCAGTTTTATAATAGAAATGAGTTATTTTTCAGTGTCTAAAACATCACATGAGATACATACATACATGCATACATACATAAATATGTTCATAAAGTTAAATGAAATAGGATATAAAATTGGGCCTAGTGTTTAAAAGGTAAATATATTTACATGAAGGAGAAAACAACTCACCTCCCACTCTTAGAGCCTCTGCCAGTTTATCATAGCCTAGTTTCTTGAGAGAATAAGCTACATGTCTTCACCTTTTTTCACTGAGCTCATTATACTCTGGATTCTGCCTTCATCGTTGCACTAAAATTTATCTCCTAGTTGTCAAATCCAGTGGCTCCCCTCTTAGTCCCCAAATTGACCCCTCTGCAGTATTTTGATACTGTTGATTGTTCCTTTGTTGAAACATTCCTCCATTCTTAATGTCCACCAATAAAGAGTTGGTTAAATAAAAATTATAGTGTACCGTTTTATAATAGAATATTCTGTTGTTCTGTTGTGGACCAAAAAATGCAGCCAGTCTTTCCATAAGAGCACGTGCAAACTTCTAAGATATATTAAGTAAAAAAGTAAGGCATAAAATATTGTGTATAATCTGACCCCTTTAGTACACAGTGTAAAAACATCTGTGTCTGTGCTTCTTTATACTTACTTTTTTCTCCCCTGGTGAATACAGGAAACTGTGAATAGTACAACACAATTAAAAAAAAAAAAACTGTGTGTCTGCTGCACCAGGACCTGTGATAATTGGGTATAAAAGACAAAAAAGACATGTCCCTGTCCTCTGGGAAGGGACATGATAATCAAATGAGACTTCTGTCGGATTCTTTTCTCCTGTTTTGATCTTATCACCCTTTCTTGGTCTCCTCCGATCTCTTCTTCCTTGTCCTACTTCTTCTCTTCTCATTCTGTGCTTTCTCTGAGTAATCTTTGACTCCCATTACTTAAGTCATGACCTGTGTTCCAGGGACTCCTAAATTTGTATTCATCTCCAGAGTTTCAAACCCATATATCTGTCTGTATATCATATATTTAGGGAATCTCACTTGGAGTGACATGGGTGTTCAAAATGATGATATTTAAATTTTCACGTATCCATCTCCTAGCACTCTATCTAGTCACATATGCCTAAACCTGGGAACTGTCTTAATATTCTTTTATATACACCTGTTCTGACCTCCCCCCAAAACTAGTAAATTTCTAAGACCTGTCCTTCTGAATGTCTCTTACAATTTTTCCTGTGATCTCAGTTTCTTCCTCCCATCCCTCAAATGCTTTGTGTGTGTGTGTGGTGGGGGAAGAGAGTAAAATTGAAATTTGTGGAAAACGTACTAGCCTGTCTGTCTGTCTTTCGAGGTGAAGTCTCCCTCTTGTCCCCCTGGCTGGAGTGCAATGGCACAATCTTGGCTTACTGCAACCTCCATCTCCTGGGTTCAAGCAATTCTCCTGCCTCAGCCTCCTGAGTAGCTGGGATTACAGGCACCTGCCACCATGCCCAGCTAATTTTTGTGTTTTTAGTAGAGATGGGGTTTCATCATGTTGGCCAGGCTGGTCTCGAACTCCTGACCTCAGGTGATCCACCCGCCTTGGCCTCCCAAATTGCTGGGATTACAGGTGTGAGCCACCATGCCTGGCCACTACCCTGTCTTGTTGCTTGGTATGACTCCACTACCCTGCTGCCTCTCTCCCCGTACAGCAGCATAATTTAGGAATCAGAGAGACTGAGGAGGATATATATTATTAGGTGCACTGGCCCAGTCAGATTAACATCTAAAGGACTGAGCCCTGAACAAAGAGTCAGGTTACCTTTTAAGCATTTTGTGTCGGTCATTATGCCGACAAGGTGTCCGCACTAAGTTCAGTATCAGTATGGTGACCTCCTGGGAACAGGGGGCCATCGGGTTGCCTAAGGATGGGAGAACTGGCTCAGGTCAGAAGGGGAGCAGGTCAGAATTCCTGCGCCAATCGGTAGTGGGACTGTGCCTGGGCAATATAGCAAGATCTTGGTTCTTAAAATTCAAAATAAAGAACAGCTCATTCCCCTCTGGGGAGGGGCTGGCTCAAGGTTACACAGTGAGTGTGGGGGCAGAGGCGGGCCCACTGTACCTCCCTTGTTGGGTTGTCTGAGGACCCCTCTGGCCACCCCCCACAGGAGATGGAGGAGGACATCTGGACAGTGAGCAGGAGGCGCCTCGGCCCATGCCGAACATCCCAGGGGACCTGGAGAGCCGGGAGGCCATGGTGAGCCTGACTTTCCCTGCCCCTACTTTGCCACCTTCCTCTGTGGTCCCTCCGAAACCCCCTTATGTTCTTGGTTTCCCCGCCTTCTGACTTCTGTGGACTTTCACTCCTCCTGGGAGCCAGTGGTCAGACACCATTTCACCTGTGACCAACAGGTGCACTCTGTGAGGCCCGAAAGGAAGGGGCTATGCTCCATCTGCCTGCCCCAGTTGTTATGTGTATACCCCTACAAGAATACTCACCTCTTGTCTTCAGGTGGCATTTTTCAACTCCGCTGGAGCCAGTGCCCAGGAGGAACAAAGTCCCAGAAGAAGCCAGAGGTAGCGGCCCCAGCCCCAGAGAGTGGGGGTGAGTCTGTGTTTGGGGAGACCCACCGGGCCCTGCAGGGGGCCATGGAGAAGCTGCAGGTGAGTAGGTCCTGGCATGGGCCAACAAGGGGGGCGGGGGGGCAGGACAAGGCAGGTGACTCCTGACATGTGACCCCATTATTTTGGCTCCACAGCGACTTTATGGAAGGAGAAGGTGGACCTGAAGGAGCGGGTAGAGAAACTAGAGCTTCAATTCATCCACCTCTCAGGACAGACAGACACCATAGTGAGCGAGAGGCTAGGGCACCGCTGGGGGGAGCTGCCAGGCCATCCGAGGGGCCCCAGCATCTGAGCCATGTCCTCCTGCAGGAAAGTACATCAGCCAGGGGGCAGTGTCAGAGACGCAGCACTGGGAGAGGAGGACATCGTCAGGCTGGCCCAGGACCAGGAGGAGATGAAGGTAGGGTGTGCAACATCTCGGTGGGGGTGGGGGTGGAGGTGGGGGTGAACGTGCGTGCCGGCACCGGCATGGCAGCTAACACCCCTTCCTCCAGGTGAACCTGCAGGAGCTGCGGGGCAGGTGTTGCAGCTTGTGGGCGACCACAAGGAGGGGCATGGCAAATTTTGACCATTGCCCAGAACCCTGCTGATGAGCCCACTCTAGGAGCCCCAGTAGCCCAGGAGCTTGGGTGTGCTGACGAGCAGGGTGGTGAGTAGAGCCCTCAGGTGGGGTGGGCAGGCAGGAGCAGGGGAGGCTCGCACTGTGCTCAGATTCCCACCCCCCTCCCTCTCTCTGAAGATCTTTGTGAGGTGAGCCTCACTGATAGCGTGGAGGCTGCACCAGGAGAGGACAGGGAGGGTTCTCCCCACGACAACCCCACTGCACAGCAGATCCAGCAGCTGCTTCCTGTAATGCAGGACTCCCCAGGAGCACCCAGGCATGGGCAGCAACCCCTGCATGCCATTCTTTTTGGGCTCCCGAGAACAGGGAGATAAACACCACCATCATCTGAGAGCCGGGAAGGGGAAGGCGTAGGTGTGGGCGTGGCAAGGTTCCTGGAAAAGAGGGGCTGGAAGGGAAAGGGGAGGAAGATGGAGGGAGAAGCTAGAGCTTCATAGGTAGTGCCTGGGGGCTGTGGCAGCCCTCCCCACCCCACACACACTGGCCTCTCTCATGGCACCCAGGCAGTCCACCCACAGTTCAGACCAATGCTCAACTCCCCCGGCTTCCCTCTTCTGTGGTCACCCCATCTTCCAACCCACTGGCCCAGGGCCACCTCTTGCTTGGGGAGCCCCACCCAACAGCCACCAAGCCTGACAGAAGGAACACTGCTTGAACCAAAATGGTGAAGCTATAAGGGATGGCGGGCTGGAGTGAGCGCCAGAGGCCCCTCTCTGGGCAGTCAGAAAGCCCAGGGTCCACTGAAGGGACCCTGGGGAAGGCAGGGAGGGCAGGTAGCTAGATGCCACTGCCCGTAGACTTATAAGTCTAAGAGGGGAGCCTCAACTGGTTGGCGGGGGGCTGCAGGTTGCATAGGTGAGGCTGGGCCCTTCCTGCTGGGAAAAGCAGAAGAGGGAGACTCCGTGGCAGGAAAGGCAGGTGGGCTCGCTAGGCGGAGCTCAGCTGGGCCAGCAAGCACTGTGGTCTCCTTGGCTGAATAGCACAGGTGACCCCTAGGAGCAACAGGCCAAGGTCCGTGAGTCTGCTGGCTGGCAGTAGTGCTTCAGTAGCGCTGGCCAGGGACCCAGCCTTCAGTCACACGCTAGCAGCTGTGATGGTACCTGGGAGGGAGGGAAGGGGGCTGTGTGTCCTTGCATGGCCTATGAAGTGTGTTGTGGGATAACCGTGTGTATTGGACTCTCAGGCTTTTATCCTAGATCACCACTGGATTGCTGACAGATAGAGGAGGTGGGACCCTGACTATCACCCCTAATCTGCAGTGGATTTGGCTCTCGGCACTCCCAGGCTGGGAGCTGGATACCTGCCCTGGCAGCATGGCTCAGACTGCATGACAGGTACGGCGTGCCCAGGATGATGTGCCCAGGCCTCTGGCCGCCTGAGTCCAGCCCCCCACACAACCCCCTCCAAGCTCCCAGCCCCTACACCATAAACCATGAGCTCTGTGCCCTCTCTGATGGTTCCACATCTGCCACCTTCGGCATGGAGCCTGTTGTAAGAGCCCCCAGGCTCAGCCATGGAGACCTTGAGCAGTGGCACTGAGTCCTGTGGCTGGCAGGGAGGGAAGTGAGACAGCCAGCAGCACAAGGACAGAAAGAGGAAAGAGCAAGTCTGCAGCTCTAGAAGGGAGGGGCAGGCAGCCTGGCTCTGAGGCTCCAGGTATGCCCCCTGTGTGGAGCTGGGGCAGCGGGGCAGGCAGACCATTCATGCAGCAGGCAGTGAGGCATGTACCTACCATGGCTGATGCTCCTCAGGGGCCACTGATAGTGATTCTGAAAGACAGCATCAAATCACATGGCAGGTCCCATGCATGGGTGGGGCAGGCCTGGGGGTGGCGGACACACGCACACGCCAGATTGTGCACACACATGCTGTGAGGCCCCACGGCCCGCATGCACACTCTAACACATGCCCACAAACAACACGCATACGTCGCCCTCTCCGCCACCTCCCGGTGCCCAGCACCCTCACCGGCCGGCACGTGCCGCATGGATCTGGGGCGTGCAGCCACTCGGCACACTGAAGCACATGCGTGGGCAGAGTCACAACACAGATGCTCACCCGCACACAGAGGCATTTGCACCAGCTCCCTGCACACTCGTGCCTGGCGTGCTCAGAGGACCACCCATGCTGCTCAGGGAGACAGGGCTTGCTCACTAATGTCCGGCTGTCATTTCTCCACCTAAGAGCCTTCCATGGCTCCCTACTGCCTACAGCATTGAAT